>NC_000013.11:73408106-73559621 GCF_000001405.40 Homo sapiens
TGTCCACCTGCCAATCACCTGGTTGAGTTTAATGATGTTCAGGTGATTCGGGACCTTCATGATTTCTACCTCTTTCTGTAGAGAGAGGCTAGGGAAGCCACTCATTTTATAGATGATTTTTGTAACCACCTGTGTCCCAGTCAGTATGTGCCCTGTTAGCTTCACCTTGACGAACACGCCCCTGCCAATGGTCTTGAGGAGCATGTACTTTTTGATCTCCTCCCTAGGTGAGTTGGAGGCCAAACTCTGCTACATGGTGCCTCCTAACTACAAATCCTACCTATGCAAGCTATGCTAACTCATGAACAATGCCAACTGTACTAGCTAGGCTAACACTGCTAATAGACTCCACCAATTGTATTAACTTTGCTAATACTACTAAGTATTATTAGTATGCTAATAATAACTATGCTAACAATACAAACCAACAATACTAACTATACTAACTGCACTAGAAATCCTAACTAAAAAAGTTAAATGGGAAAAAAGAAAAAAGTGAGAAAAATTGCAAAGAAAATAGATGAAATGGGAAAAAGAAAAAATAATAAAGTGAGAAAATAAAAATAAACATGAGAAAAACAAAAATAAAGAAAAGAAAATGAAAGAAATAAGAGAAAGGAAACAGAAAAGAAAAAATAAATTGAAAAATGAAGGAAAAAAGGGGGAAAAAAAGAAAAAATGTAGAGAAAAGAGGAAAAGATAGGAAAAAAAAAAAAAAAAAACCAGCAACAACAAGGAGAAAACAAGCTAGATACAATCAGAGTCCACAGGTTACCAAAAACAGCTTCCTGATCTACGCGAACCAAAAACCTAGGCCCAGTTGGGGCCTTATATAGATGTGTGTAATTCCATCACAGTGACTGTTTTTTTTTTAATTTAATTTGATTTAATTTTTTTTGAGATGGAGTCTCATTCTGTCACCAGGCTGGAGTGCAGTGGTGCGATCTTGGCTCACAACAACCTCCGCCTCCCGGGTTCAAGCGATTCTCCAGCCTCAGCCTCCCAAGTAGCTGGGACTTCAGGTGCCCGCCACCATACTGGGATAATTTTTTGTATTTTTAGTAGAGACGGGGTTTCACCGTGTTAGCCAGGATGGTCTTGATCTCCTGACCTCGTGATCCACCTGTCTTGGCCTTCCAAAGTGCTGGGATTACAGGCGTGAGCCACCTTGCGTGGCCCACAGTGGCTCTTTGTGATGTCAGGGTAACACATGGACTAATCATGACTGGATATATTTCACTATGGTTTTTTCACTTTTGGCCCCAAGAACATTTTCTTTTTTTAATAAAAAGTGCTTTTTATCTAGGTGGGTCATAGAGATTGATGGTTTCTTAGCTACTTAAACCTGTACGGTGCCTCAATGGCATTTTCGTTTGTAGTTTGAAAATCTGCAATGAATTTTGGCTTTCAAAGACCTCCTAATGTCTACATTGAAAATATTCCATTCCTTTTTTAAAAAAACTCTGAATGATTCGTCTCAGTTATGGTGGGGATGAGGGGGATATTTTTCTTCTCTTGTAGGGGTTTTCCTTTCTCATATGGTTGAGATCATGTCACAGATGCAGAAGGAAACAGACCCTACCCTTATGGAGCTTATCCTCGTACGGTGATGAGCATCAGGTGAAGTGGGGACCAGAGAATAGTCTTCTGGGCCACAGGTTGGTGCTGGGTGAGGTGGAAGGAGGTGCTTCCTGGAAGCCAGAGTGCTGAGCCCCGCAGTACGAATAGGAGTCACCTAAGTGAGCACGGGACCGCTTAGGAGAGTAGCCTCTGTGAAGGCCTGGGGATGACAGAGTGTGGCACGCTGGAGGGATGATGTTAGTCTAAAGGTGGGACTGGGGCTGGGTTGGGAGAGCTCAAGTCCCAGGACAGAATCGGAGCCTGTGTTCTGAGAGCAGAGGGCTCTATGGAATAGTTTAATGTAAAGGGGACACAGTCAGGTCTGTGTCTCAGGAAGGGACATCTGGTAGCTCTTGGAGGGTAAGGTGGACGGGGCTGGCAGCGAACAGGCTGACAAGTGAGTACTTGGCAACCACCACAGTGGGATCCTCTGCAGTGGGAGAGGAGCCCAGCCTGGGCAGGGAGTCAAGGGGCAGAGCTGTAGGACCCCTCAGAGCGAACTCCTGCTCTCTGCACCCCAGCTGTGTCACCAGAGGGAGGGGACCTCCTATGGAGCGCCACATTTCCTGCAGGTTGGGTGGGAATGACGCCTTGTTCAACAGACCTAAGCACCGCCATTTTACATGTGGAGAGACTGTAGGGCCCTTGACACCATGGTTATCCTAGGCCATGAGAGGAAGTGAGAGCTTTGTGTGAAATATTTTAATTCTTCCTTTGTTTACTGGAATTCTTACTTTGTTTAAAGACTCCATAGTTTTACTCATTGACCCACTTTCATTAAACAAATAATTTTTTTGAATCTTTTGAAAATTTCAATAACTTTTGGGGTACAAGTGGTTTTTGGTTACATGGCTGAATTGTATTGTGGTGAAGTCTGAGATTTTTAGTGCATTCATTCCTCAAGTAATGTGCACTGAACTCAATATGTAGATTTTTACTCCTCACCTGCCTCCCACCCTCCTCTCTTCTGACTGAGTCTCTAAAGCTCATTATACCACTCTGTATGTGTTTGCATACCAATAGCTTAGCTCTCACTTATAAGTGAGAACACACAGTGGTTTTCCATTCCTGAGTTACTTCACTTGGAATGATGGCCTCCATCCTTCCTCTTTTTTTATTGGCGACAACAGTCAACTGTGGCTCATTTGAGAGTAAAATTATCTCTTGTTCCCAAGTCATCAAAATAATCACATGCTCCCATAACTAACACCATCTTAGGCATCATCAACATCATCAACAATCTTTACTAAACACCTAGATGTGCATGATACTGTTAGGTTTGACCTATCAGAAGGAACTATTTCCGGATCCCTGAAACTTGCCTAGAGCTTTCTTTAACACTCAGAGAGTATGCTTGAAATAGAAAAATCGTTCACTTGGCTTTGTCAAGCAATCAGGCTTAGATCCCTGGAGTAGATATCCTTTTCCCTGACGTTGCTGCCATGTGTTGTAGGAGTAAAGCAAATACAAAAGATGGTAGAGGAGGCATCTCTCTACTGTTGACCAAAGGACCAGGAATTTCCCAGCTCTGCAGTAACTGAACTCTCTAAAGAAGAGCATGACTAATTCGTATGAATATTACCTTCTTTAGCTTTCATAGAAGCCTCTAAAGCATGACACTTAATTGTTTTTCTTATTAGTTCAAAAATAAAACATGTTGAAGATATTACCATGGCTACTCCTTTAATTAATAAAAAGGCTGTGTTGAGTTTAAAAACAACTAACTCTTTTCATATCCAAGTTACTTTTAGTAGCTATTATAAATTATTACCTTCCTTTACATCAGAAGTTTCTTATGACTAAAGGCCGAGCCAGCCCCCATGATGCTCTTTAACAATGACTCTTATGTTTCTTTTGGTAAACTCATAATGTTAATTACACTGTGCAACAGATGGAGCGCCTTCCATCAAGGACCTCAATGCACCTTAGAAACATCATGAGTCATCAAAGCCCTTCTGTAATGGAGGTAAATATCCATGGCCACAATTTTACAGTTAAAGAAGCACGAAGAAGGTAAGTGTCTTTGTTTTTTAAAGCCGAATACATTTTGGTAAAACAATTTATCATTTAAGAAGGCAGAGAAACTCGAAGAATATTTACTGAACAAAGAAATGAATGAAATGGTTCATCAGCAAGATTTGGTTCCCTCTCAATAAATACCTGAACGATATTAATTATTTTGATGAGCGATGGGTAAATAAATCAGAAGCTATCTACTGCCAGCTAATCAGTCTTTATAATGACTGGTGTGGAAAATGGCTACTTGACTACCATAGTGATAGAGCAAATCTAGATAATAAAAATGGCCACTTTTGTAACATGATACAGAAACACTGAAATTTTGAGCTAAAAGATTCTAAAGGTTGTCCAGTTAAGCACTTTAACATTTTAGATGAGAAAATTGAGATCCAGAAATGTTAATAGGTGGCCTGCATGAAATCATTTAGCTTTTGAAACCTTAATTTAATTTAATACTTCTTCCTGTTTCAGAAAGTATTTACTTGGCTCGGTCTCTCAGCTGGTTAGTGGCATTGATAACTAGAATCCAGGCTCCTGACCTTAAGTAATCCATCTTCCCGCCAAATTTCATTTAAAAAAAAACTTTTACAAATGATTGTCTTCCTACACCCTAAGTATCATAAAAAACATATAAAGTGAAATTTGTTAGGAGGTTACTTTTGTTACACTTTTCTTTAATTGATGGGGAATCTGATATTCAGGAAATTGAAGGGAATCACTCAGGGTCCCATGGCTGGTTACCAGCATACAGAGGCCTAGAATCCCTACTTCCCCTCTTTTCCACTACTTCAGAATCTGGAACTTTCATCTGTTAATCAAGATACCAATAACCAAAACCACCTATATAATTTCATTCTGATTTTTCTGCAATCTTTGTTTACTAAAAACAAATGAGAAATAAACAAGGTAATATTAGGGATTTTAAAAATGAAAAAGAAAGAAAGAAAATAGAGTCCAGGACATACCATTAGATCAGTAGTAATTGAAATTCCCGTCATTTATTTGATATCTTTCAAACCCGTGAATCCAGATAATGATTATAACTTATTCTAAGAACATTGAAGCATTATAAGATACCAAAGTGCTTACTGACTTTTCAGAGATTAAACTATTTCCATGAAGGTTTCAAGGCTGTACATTTTTTTTTATTTATGATGAAAACTGGCAATCACAGGCAAAATGTATAGTAATCCTCACTGAGCAAGAACATCTAAATAAAATAGCACATTGATTCTTTTTTTTTTTTTTTAAGCGAGAGACAGGATCTAACTATGTTGCCCAGGCTGGTCTTGAACTCTTATGCTTATGCAATCCTCCCACCTTGCTCTCCCAAATTGTTGGGATTACAGGTGTGAGCCACTGTGCCCAGCCTGCACATTGATTCTGAATCATCATTGATGACTAAGTGTTTCTAGCATTTTTATATATTTTGAGTTTGCATCATCCCATTCTACAATCACAATTCTTTAATTAAATGGAGATCACCCAATGACACAGAAGAATGCTTGAATTAGTTTTCAAGATAGTTTTTCCTCTAATTTTTACATAGCCTTTCCTCCTGTGGAAGTTAGCATGCAAATATACACTTTGGACCATCTAGTCTATTTTTTTTTAATTCTAAAGTGAAAGAGCCATGTCATACAAATATTACAATAGGATAACACTTTGCACTGATATGGCATTTTTAATTGAAGTTGGTAAGGACTATGGGCAATTCTTTGGAGAGCCCTGTGAATGAGTGAAACAGACTCCTCCTATTTCCGAGATGGAGAAGGTGAGGACTAGGGGTGGAGGTGAGGAGGAGAATTGTTAAAGACTTTCCTTGAACGCAGTTCTCAAGTTGTCAAGTGCTCCTTGTATGTCTTCAACTTCAATGGCAGACACAGTAGACCTAGGGAGGAAGTATTGGACTGTGATTCTGAAAATATCACCTCTAGACATATTTCCTATTGCTAATATTTATTCTGCTGCCTTTACATCTCGTTTCCTTGACACACGTAATCTTACCGTATGAAAATGATTCCCTGTTACTATATGTATTGGAAATCATTCGTAGAGCTTTGCATTACTCTGTTTATCTCTCTGTGTGTACTAGGGTCTTTGAAAGGTTGTACTGTGGAATTTGTACTGTGAGTTGAATATTAATAAGATAAGGAGAAGAAATAAGTTTTCCCCTTCCTTTATAACCCCACACTGGCCCTGTGAGCAGGAAAACCAGCTCACATGGGTAGGCCTAGACATCCCAGCTCTGCCCTCCGTATCCCGTTAATACCTCATGACAAATGGAGGGGCTGCTTTATGACAGTTTTGGATTTTCTAAGTAAAACATTCAAGAAGTCAGCATCCTCTGCTTTAGTTGAGTGCTTTATTTATTAGGGGAACTATGAAATTTTAGCCTGTTGCTCTCCTTTTTACCTTTTTTTTTTTTAAAGTATAGTTAAGGATTAGCAAAGACTTTTACCACAAGGAACAAAGCATTTCAAACTCCTTAAAGAGATAACACTAATATTCTACTTTATTTCTGTATTTGCACATACAAAAACTAATTTTTGTAGATATTTTTCCTCTTGCAGGCTCTTATCTTCCTCTCCTTGTCTAGGCCCTTAACCTCAGTGTAAAAGAGGCAAATGATCTATAGAAAAATATTTTAGGTGTATATATAAATGAAGCTTAGACTGAGAAAGTTAAGATGGGAAAGTTGACACTAAAGTTTCTTTTTATTTTTTCCTATAGCTGATTGATAGGTAAACTCAGAGGCCATTTTTTAATCAGTGGTTATTGTACTTTACATTCTTACATCTATTACACCATCTGAGAATACCCAAGTGTTTAATGGCAATTGGAATGGAATCTTCATAACATCTTTTCAAATTAAATAGATGGCTTGCATTGTTAGTCTCATTCGTTAGAGAAAGAAAGGATATTAATTGTGAATTACGTGAACCAAAGAACATTGGTAGCCTAACTAGTAACTGAAGTCTAAGTTCAAGTTCTTGCTCTAAAAATTTGAATTCAGGTCAGTTCAACAAACTGGAAGGAGTCTCTACCATGCCATGCACAAGGCTGTAGTATAAGTCGGAAGGGAGAGTAAGGGTTAAATTAAGGTTAGTTTTCAGGCCACTGACTCCAGATTTTAAAATTATGACTGAAATTATATACTTTTCTGTATATTGTGTTCTGTAGTTGGAAAAAAAGTATAGAGAGTGATGAGGTGCCCAATAAATGCTCAGATAAGAGAATGGAGTCAATAATTGGTAACTAAGTTATTTCAAAGTAAGATGAGAGTCAAATTTATTTCTAAGCAGTGGGAATTTTGATATTTATTTACCAAAGCTTCTGAAAATTATTACAACTTCTAAAAGCCATTCTATCAATGATGTTAACTGAATCTTTATCATATGCAAAGCATCGTCCCAGGTGCTATGGGGATCCAGAAATAAGAATCCGAAGGGCAGCATTGAGCACTGTAAGCTAACATGGAATAAGTGCTTGCACAGAGTCATGACCTCTGGTTTACCAATTACGAAGCCTTAGCTCATTTTTCTGCATTACTCCCTCAATTGCTTTGGTTTATATAGCTTCCCACTTTCAGTAGACTTTATATTATAGAATGTTCCCATTTACTATTTTATTGTATCTCTTTAGCATTCTTGAGATTGAAGCAATGCATTTTTTATGATCTCCATTACATAGACCCGACTGAAGTTAGTAAGAAGTTAAATGAATTTTTCAAGGTCAAGCAAAGAGCAAGGGTGAGACCTCTGTCTCCTGTCTACCCCACTCATTTTCTTTTCACTAAACTGCCTTGCCTGAAGGACTATTTGAGCTTCCTAGTAAAAAGTTGAAAGGCACTTCATAATATTTTCTTCAGTAAGCTTTCTCTTATTAAGATATTTTATTACACTATCATTACAATGAAAATAAGGAAATAAAAATATATCTCATCCCACTCACCCAATTTATTTTCCTCAATGATCTTCTATGCTGATACAAAGTTTTAGAAATGAGATCATATCACATTAATTGCTGCATCCAATAAATGTTGAGTGATTATTGTACTAACTGTAGGAATGACTATAAAAGAATCTCACCCCTTTCTTATGGTATGTATCGTCTGCCTTCGATATTTATTTATCACATTTCTTGTCTTCTGAATTAGATTTTAGTTGTTGGGGGATAGAAACCATATCTGACCTACTTTTGTTTTAAATCTCCTCAGCACTTTGCACCACAAACTGAATGGAGAACAGAGAACCGTGCTCAATAAACGTTTGCTTAATGAATGAGTGATTACTTCTGCTGAGGAAAACAAAACATGAACACGTTGGTGACAGTGGATTAATTCTCTGCTTGCCTTCTCTCCCTCTTGTTTGAGATCCCTGAAGGCTCTTGCTGGGTGTTCTCTCTCTCCAGTAGCATAGCTGGTCCTTGAAAGCCTAACTTTAAGTCCTGGTCTCACATTCCTAGTGTCTCTCTTGTGGCTTCCTGGTTCCACACAAGTACTCCAAAAATGTTTGTAGAATGGAGGCAGCAAGGAAGGAGGGCGGGGAGAAAGAGTAGCTAATGATATGCTTAACAATTCTTGCATGCTCTCTAAGGGCTGGGAACTGCTTTAAATGCCTTATTGGATCAAGTCATTCACTCCCTTCAACAATCCTACTAAGTAGATCCAATCAGTAGCCCCAATTAAAACCAAACCACAGAGAGAGTAAGTAATTTGTCCAAGCTCACATAGCTAAGTGGTAAAGGCAGAATTCAGACCCAGTGTTTTGGTTTTTTGTTTGTTTGTTTTTGTTGTTCGTTTGTTTTGTCACTGAGTTAATCTGTGTCTTGATATAGCCACCTGGATTTTCAGTACAGCACAGGATAAAAAAGGTAAGGAAGGAAACAACAGTTACTCACAGAGCATCGGTAACAACCAACATATTATAGTGGAAGAAGCCTAGAAAGAGCCGAAAATCCCGTGTCCCAATAAGAATGTTTTCGTATTCAGTTAACTTCATCTAATGTCTCTGGCCTTACTATTCTAATCTGCTAAATGGGTATAATTATCCTAGACCTGCCTTGCTCAGAGTTGTAAATTTATGCAAACACAATTTGAAATTAAGTGTATAATGCGCTATGACTATGTAAGCTAAGTATTTTAACAGCTGTTATATACATGTCACGGCATATTTTACCTGTTACTCTCAACAAATCTTCATATAACAAATATCAACTTTATTCAACTGAATAGAGGCACAAAATGAGCATTATTAGACTTTATAGATTCTGCGCAAATGCAGCTTGATAAAAAGTTTTAATATTATCAAAGCCTTTTTATATAAAGTTTTATGATGGCGCTGAATGGAGTCTCAGTTGAATATTAGACATAGCGAGCATTACCCAATGAACTCACGATACAAGGGTGGAGGAAATGGTTGTTGTTGGTGGTATTGGGGTAAATATATAATGAGAGAAAAGAGCTCCACCTGCTGATCAGCAGTGCCACTTCCTACCACACCCTTGGAAGTCAGCCTCATACATAGTGGATCATAGCCTGTTCACTTTGGAAAATAACGTTAAGAACATAATTACCATCACCACATACACGCAAATGCACAAAGCCTACCACTTACTGAGTACTTATTTTTTCCCAGGCGATGGAAAGTGATTTCTATTAATCCTGATACCCCGCCTCCCCCCTCGCCCAGGGGTAGTGATAGAGCAGAGCCTGAATCCGGGCCACTCGGCTCAAAGCCTGAATCTTCCATTTTCTAGGTGTGGCCTTGGGCAATAAATTTCCCTTGGCCTTCATTTCTCCATCTGTAAACAGAGATTATAATAACTTCTACCTCATCGGGTTGTTACAACGATTCAATGAATCAATGTTTGTGAAGAATTTACAAAAATTGGCCGGGGGCGGTGGCTCACGCCTGTTGTCCCAGCACTTTGGGAGGCCGAGGTGGGAGGATCACGAGGTCAGGAGATCGAGACCATCCTGGCTAACACGGTGAAACCTCGTCTCTACTAAAAATACGAAAAATTTGCCGGGCGTGGTGGCGGGCGCCTGTAGTCCCAGCTACTCGGGAGGCTGAGGCAGGAGAATGGCGTGAACCCGGGAGGCGGAGCTTGCAGTGAGCCGAGATCGCAACACTGCACTCCAGCCTGGGCGACAGAGCGAGACTCCGTCTCAAAACAACAACAACAACAACAACAACAAAAAAGAATTTACAAAAATTCTTAGTGTATGATAAGCATTTGTGAGATAGATTTTTAAAAAGGAAAACAAGCTGTAATTTACACAACTTTATTAGAGAACTCTTAAAGAGATAAACTCAGGAGTTGAACACAGACTGTCTGACCTCAGTGCCTATGCTCTTAAGCACCAGGCTATGTAGCTTCTCAATATGTGACGATGATGAAATAAAACCTAAAGGAACTAAGGACATGTCGTTGAGTTATTTACAGGAATGATGATTTGCTATTTGAATTACATCAAGTTTAGCTCTTTCCGTTATTTTATTTCTTATGTTGGATTCCTAATCATTGCCTCCCCAACCCCTTAGCTTCAGCCAATTGTTGCTACAGGAATTTTCACAAAACATAGCCATAATGATCCCACATGATGGCAATCATGAAACACTTCTCTTTTTATTTTTCTTATCATTTTGATGGCCTTTCCTAAGCACCTCCTTGCCACTGCTTGCAAATTTCTCATTTTAAGGTTCTGTCTCAACTGGATTGTTAAAATCACAATCCAACTCCTGATATAAAGGCATGTAGTAGTCATGATAATCGGTTCACTATGTTGAGGCTGCTTATGGGAATGTTCATGGTCCAGAGAAATCATAAAGAAACGACTTCATGTTTAACACAGTGTGGAATTGGCTCCAACTGCTGAGGCAATGACTTTAGACTCGTTGGAGAAATTTGGAATTTGGGTTGAGGGGTGGGACATCCTGCTTTGAGTTGACTGATGATTCCTATTTGAGAAAAGCGGAGAGTCTAAAGGTAAGAGGAAATATTGGAGGAAAGTTCTGAGCATCAGTAACCCCAAACTGAAGTTGAAGAAGAGACAAAGCCATAGAGGGTCATCCACATACAGCTTCTTTTCCCACCTAATGCCAACATATTACAAGATGTAGTCACAATTTAATGATATGGGAAGTGGAATAAAATATTTATTTGGAGAAACGATTGGAAACTTATTACACCATTTTAAGTATAATTGGATCTGTCTGAATTTTACATGGCCTTTAAAAAATTTGTTAAGCACCCAAAAAGAAACAAAGATAATTAAAATATTGGGAAATAGAATAGATGAAGAAAAGTTAAAGGGCTGTGGGAAATGTAATTTGAAAAGAAAGCAATTAGGGAAAACTTCAGTGTTTTCAAGTCTATGGAATGTTATTTATTAAAGAAACAAGTATTCTTGGTTCTCTATTTCCATAGAGATCAGAAATAGAAATGGGCTTAAGTTGCCGCAAGAAAGCTTATGTTTACACACAAGAAAAAACTTCTTGATTAAACTCTAGAACTTACTAGGGAGGGAAATTGTGGGTCTTTGCTCCAGGAAATCTTTAAGAATTGAAGAGGTAAGCCCTGGGTAATCTGATGTGGTGTTGGGTTAAAGCAGAAGGCTTAACTGGAATTTCTTTAGGTCTCATCCAGTACTTAAATGCCATGATTGTATAAATAAGAATTTGTCCACAAAGCAGGAAGGAAGCAGACAGAACAACCAGGCATGGCTCATTTAGCAATGCAGTTGCTATTTCTGAGGGAAGATTTCTGGAAATCTCTGTTCTGAAGTAGAGTTACAATGTCATAGCCAAAACCTTGTGAACAACTTAGAAGGTCCTGGTCAGACATTCACTTTTTTTTTTTAGCCTTACTGATAGAGTCAACTTAAGTAACAAAGGACGTAGTTATAATTTTCCTTTTGTGTAGGAATTTATGACCATTTTGAGAGTGCCTGTGTATCTACAAAATAATTCATGTTAGAATAAATAGAATATTTTAGATGAATTTGTCTGACATGGCTACAATCTAGGCAGTTGCTTTTTGGTAGTTTTCTGATGGTTGTTCTCAAATGGGAATTAAAAGCTGATGTCAGTGTATGAGGGTGATAGTAAGGTATCCCCCAGAATTTTGAAAATAAGGTGCTCTTTTTTAAAACATTAACTTTCCATGAAGTTAGAATTGCAAAATTCTTACACAATGGATATGATTAGCCATCTGTATATGGTGAATTGAGAATTTGGGAAATACTATCATTTCAACTTAGGTAAACGGAGGAATATGAGAAAGAAAGACTGGAATATGAGAAAGAAAGACAATGTGGTTGTAACTTTGTACTCAGTTTGTGGAAACTCAAACATTTGTTTCCTTTCCTGACTTGGAGGAAACATCTCTGATAACAAGGCTCATCAAATACGGAGGCCTAGAAAATGTTGAGAGTCACAGAAGCCAAATCTCAGGGGAGACTTGGCAAGACCCTCCTCTACTGGCTGAGGATCTCATGCTGTTTAAGGTCAGCTCAGTCCTCCATTCTGATTCCCTCCATGCTCCTCACCATGCAACCTTCAGATGATTTGCCTTTCCACCTGGCTGGGTGGTGGGATAAAGTGTACTGATCTTCCAACCTTCCTGACAGTTGAATTTCTTTATATATATATTTTTTATTTCAACCACTTGTACCCCAAATTTTTTATTTGTGTACTCATAGCTTAGCTCCCATTTATAAGTGAGAACATAACGGTTTTTGGTTTTCCACTCCTGTGTTACTTCACTTAGAATAATGGCCTCTAGCTCCATCCAAGATGCTGCAAAAGACACTATTGCATTCCTTTTAATGAATGAGTAGTATTCCACAGTGTGTGTGTGTATATATATATATTTCTTATATATACATACAAGAAATAATATATACAAGAAATAAATACATACATATACATATATATTTCGTGTGTGTGTGTGTATATATATATATATATATATATATATATACAAGAAAATGTGAGATATATATATATATCATTGACTCATTAGTCAATGGGCACGTAAGTTGGTTCCACATCTTTGCAGTTGTGAATTACGCTGTTATAAATATATGTGTGCAAGTGTCTTTTTCATATAATGACATCTTTTTCATATAATGACATATAATGACATCTTTTCCTTTGGGTAGATACCCAGTAGTGGGATTGCTGGATCGAATTGTAGATTTACCTTTAGCTCTTCAAGGAATCTTCATAACTGACAGTTGAATTTCTCATAGCAAATGATTTATAGATCAGTTGCTATGAGCTGAGTTCACGTAAATCTACTCACAAGAGATGACTTGCCCATTGGCAGGCTTGTAAGAGGGGTCTGAATCTATAGGTTTCATATCATGGTATTTTTTTTTACAATGAATGCAAACAAGGATTGTCTAAGCAGTCTCTCTCTCTTTCTCTCTGTCTCATTGCTTGCCCTCCTCAAGCTGAAACAAAAATATTATTTTAAAATATTTTCCATTCAAGTAATGATTCTTCTCCAGCTCACACAGATGAGATCTCCCTCCTTACCCCTAGAAGGTGGAGATGATGAGTTTGGGTTACGCCTTCATAGAAGGAGGCACTGAGAGGCTCTCAAGCTGTGCAGCAAGAATGGTTCTCATGTGAGAACAGTGGTGGGGTTGATGACTCACAGGAGCACCGGCCACATTTAATAGACACTTTGTACCTCAATCATTTTGAAATGTTAAGAACTCCAATATTCATTTTGACACGTATTGGTAGTTTCCTGCATTGCTTTCCAGTGCGTCAATAGTAAGGCTTTGTCTAGATGACTGGTAACAATACGGTTCCATATATCATAAAACTGTGTAGATAAATGTGTATTGGTTTTAGATAGTCATGGATTTCCCAACTCTTACACCAGCACTGTAGTGAATCTCACTACCACACTACCTCTGGTTGTGACCTTATCAGGTTTCATAAGCTGAATAGGCTTTGGCTGGGACAATTTGTGAGTGGCAACAACCCAAAGAAAACCAGGTGCTACAGGAAGTGGAACGGGTGATTCAGTCAGGTTCATTCTTTCTTATGATTCAGGCTGACCCACTAACTAATCATTGTGAGTGGGCACTCTGCTTTCAGGGATGCTTGTGAATAAGACGTATAGTAAATGTCTTAATCACTTTTGCTGACTGAAAAGCTTTCACAGAGATTGTTTTTCAGAATTTCGAAATGGAGAAATCAATTCTATTGTGGTAATAAAAGTTATTGGTAATCCCATGGTGGATATGGTATATGCTCTATTTCCTATCTTTACTCAATATTGCAATGTGCAATATGTTATTAAGTACCCAAGGCATTTTGATTCATAACTATGTTTGCATTCGGCAATGAATGTATTTATTCTTTTTTTGAGTTTATTAAGTCTTTGAACTTTAAAGTAATATATAAGTAAAGTTACTTGTTTATTTCATTTATTTATGTTCTCTCTCCAGGATTTAATAAGAACTAACAAATAGAAGCAATAAGTTAATAAATGAGAATACTGAGGCAGGAAGAAAATACAACTAAGAAATTAAGGCAAACATAAAAGTTAAGGTTAGCATATATTATAGCTCAAATATAAAAGACAGTTATAACAAAACCATCTTGCCTAATTCAGAGGAGAAAGTGTCATAATTAAGCTCTCACTGTTTGCCATGAGACAGATCTGATTGGCCTCTCAACTCTGCCATTTACTAACCGTGTCACCTTAGGGACATGTGAAATGACGATAGGAGTTATATCTACTCTCAAGAGTTATTAGTGAGTATTAAAGGAGATTGCTCTGTGAAATGTATAGTGTGATGCCTGGTACATAGGAAGGTTTATCAAATGGCAATTATTTATATTATGATAATGATTATTACATTAATTTCCATAAATTTGTGATTGAAGAGTTCCCAGTTGCCTTTGGGAAAAAAAAAAAAAGCTTTAATGCGACCTAGTGGCCTTTTAAAATATATTTGTGTCCTTCTGAAGATCAGAGGGGGCATGACTTCAGCAGGTCTTGGAGCATATGACATTGTTCATGTCCATTGTCTTCCTAAGCCACAGAGCAAGATCCCTCAGTGATGGCTCGATCTGCTTCAGGGTCCTGCTATAGTTTAAACCTCCCTTGACTTCATCGCTTCCAGCTTTTCAAGGGTGATATGTATGCCTCCTAAAGGTTTGAATGGCCAATGCAGGAATCAGTTAACAATGTATTTGTTCATTTTATGAGCCATGTGAGTATGTAGGGAAATTTTCTTGTTCAGCTTCACTCAGAGGTGAGTAGGAGATACACTTGTCTTGGCTGCTCCTCACTGCTCATGGCCTGGAGAAAATGGAATGTTCCCAGGGCTTTGACAAAGACCTTGTACAACCTGCAGCGTTCTTCACCTAATCCCTCAGTATATTCCTCCTTAGGAGGAGCTACTCCTGATTCACTGCCACAGGCACAGCCACCTACAATGCTTACTTAGAGTGAAACTTTGATCCTACAATGCAAGAATCATCTTAATGACGCTGCAGCTGCCCTAGGCAGGTTGGCTGCTCACTATATATCTATATATTTGGGAAAATAAAGATCTGCCAAGGAAGGTACATCCAAGGAGGCCAGGGGCTGGCTGTAGGGAAGGAATAAGGGGCTTCACTGTCCTTTGTTTTTTGTATTGTTTTCTTTTTTGAGATGGAGTCTTGCTGTATCACCCAGGCTGGAGTGCAGTGCCATGTTCTCAGCTCACTGCAACCTCTGCCTCCCAGGTTCAAGCAATTCTCCTGCCTCAGCCTCTCAAGTAGCTGGAACTACAGATACGCACGACCATGCTGGGCTAATTTATGTATTTTTAGTAGAGACGGGGTTTCACCATGTTGGCCAGGATGGTCTAGAAATACTGGATTAAAGTGATCCACCCACCTCGGCCTCCCAAAGTGCTGGGATTACAGGCATGAGCCACCGCACCTGGCTTTCACTGTCCTTTCTAAAAATATTTCATTACATTAAGAAAAAAATGAATTATAAGTAGTATGTATTTATTGAGAACATCTACTATAAGAAAAAGCAATTATTCTTCAAAAGAATCTTTTTAAGGTACCCCATATTTTTCCTTCTAACATTTCTTCTTAAAATAATTTCAGTAAATTCAAAACTAGTAGAACTTTCCATCTGAAAATAGGTCAGATGTATTTGGGGTAAGAAACTTAGTTCACATTTCTGAAATGAGCTCATCAAGTGGTCCTTTACATTTCCCCAGCATCTTTTATGAACCTTTGCCCCGGATAGATATTCAATTAGGTAGAGTAGCTGAATTGCTCAAATAACATTTCTAAACTGGATTTGTTTGTCCTAGTAAAGTCTTACCTGAGTAAATTCAGATCTTACATTTCAAACTTTTCTATAGTTTCTGAACTTGTTCTCTTCTCAAATTACTGACTATGATTACTTTTGGTGGGCTCTGGAGTCAGGCTAAGTTCAAATCCTGGCTCAAACACTGACTAGTTGTATAACATTACGCAGGTCATCCCATCTTGTTAATCCAAAATTTTCTCACCTGTAAACTGAGTATTAATATTAAATAATAAGGTTGTGAAGAGTAACACATGTCAATTTCTTAATGCACTGCTTAGCATATAATTCATGTTAGCTACTACTGTTATTACAGTCATTATTTCAACACTAAATGAAAACTTCAGAAGTGATCAATTCAAAGGAGAGCAAGGTATAATTTACAAAAGAAAAAAAGTCAAGAGGCACATACATTTGTGAAGAAATGCTTAAATTAACTAAAAGTGAGATAATGCAAATTAAACATTGATAGGTATTTTACTTATAGAATTGGAAAAAACTTTTGAAAATGATCATCTTCTATTTTGGCAAAAGTATATGTAGTTAAACAGGTGGGTACTCTGAGACCTAGGAGTGAACTCTAGATTGGTATAGGCTTTTGGTAATGCAATTCAATATGTATCGTGTTTTAAAAGACTTCACACTCTTCGACCTTGTAACTGGATGAGTCCTTTAAGGAGACAGTGAGGCTGTCAAAGATTTTTATTAAACCATAATATATTAATAATAATAAACTGAAACTAATGTATAAAAGTAGATGAATGTTAAGATATAGCAAGGGATATTATAAAGTTTTAAAATAATGTTCTCAAAGAACATTTAAGATTAGGAAAAAATACTTCTAACATATTACAAAACTGAATAAAGTATAGTGTATGATTCTTCTTTGTTATTTACATACGTATATAACATATGCCTATCACTGATATCTTTTAGACATCTCCACATGGATAGCCAATAATCATCTCAAACTTTATGTGTCTACATTCAGATTTTTAAATTTCTAGCCATAAATTGTTAAATCTGTTTCTCCTCTAGTCTTCCCCATCTTGATAAAGGGAAACTTCATCCTTCCAATTGCTCAAGTCAAACATCTGGGGGTCTGTTTTGATTTCTTTCTTTCCCTCACACCCACATTCAATCCATTCACCTCTCCTTTCAAAGTGTCCAGAATCTGATCCCTTTCCACGATCTCCAACTTCTTCTCTGGCTCCTGCCTCTATCATCTCCTGCCTAGGTGACTGCAGAGATCTCTTAACTGGGGTCTTTGCACTAGCCCTTCCTCCCTCCATTCCCTTTTCTCAGCACAACAGCCAGAGACAGATTGAGCCTTTAACATGCATCAAGTCATGTCACTTCTCTGTTCGGAAGCCTCCAAAAGCAAAGCCAGTTCTGTGTATTGGCCTGCAAAAGCCTTCCTGATTGACGTTCTGCTCTCTCTCTGAACTCATTGCCCACCACTTTTCTCAAACTTTCGGTTTCGCCAGGCCCAGTGGCTCACACCTATAATCTCAGCACTTTGGGAGGCTAGTCGGGCAGAACACCTGAGGCCAGGAGTTTGAGGCCAGCCTGGCCAACATGGTGAAGCCCCATCTCTACTAAAAGTAACAAATTAGCCAGGTGTGGTGGTGCACGCCTGTAATCCCAGCTACTTGGGAGGTTGAGGCAGGAGAATCACTTGAACCCAGGAGGCAGAGGTTGTAGTGAGCCCAGATCGCGACACTGCACTCCAGCCTGGGCGACAGAGCAAGATTCTGTCTCAAAAATAAATAAATAAATACAAATAAAATAAAATAAAAAAACAACAACCAAAAAAACTCGGGTTCAGCCCCACTAGCCCCTTGTGTCGCTAATTCTCACCGAACACCTTCTCGTTCTTTTCATCTACACTTACCTCCGCCTGGAATGCTCCACATGGCTGGTGCTGTCACCTCCTGAAAGTCTTTGCATAAGAGCCATCTCCTTGCGTGCATACCCATTTTTAAAGACATTCCAGTCTCACCCCAGTATTTCCTCTCTCCCTTAGAAAGCTCCCCCCAACCTTCTTTTTAAATAGCCCTTAGGAGCAAGTGACTTGTTTTCCTTTTTCATCCTTTCTCTCTCCAGTAGAATGTAAGCCCTTTGAGCTGGGGACTTTTTCTTGTTGCTCACTGTTGGATCTCCATTACTTAGAACAGTGCCTGGCTTATGTGTTGAATGAAAAAATACGTATTTGTTGAATAAATAAACAAATGGGTAAGCACATGATATATGTCTAGATAAATTTAATGCTTTTTATTTTCTTGTTTAAACTCTTCTGTACTTAAATTTTCCAAATTGACATCATTTTTCCATCTTTATTATCAGAAAAAAACCCACAATCAATGTTATTCTTTTTTATTTTTAACTTGGTAATTACTGGTATTTATGGGCTAACTGAATGTATGAATCTTCCAGCCTTTTTGTATTTTGGATAGTTCACTATGAGGGACAAATCATCTTGATAAAGGATGAAGTTCTTTGCTTTTCTGTAACTCTCATTTCCTCTTTTTCATAACATTATTGAAAATATCATATTTTCTGCATTTTCTAACTCTGAATCAGTATTAGGCTGGTGGGCTAGCTCCTTGCCCATTCTTTCAACATATTATTACTACTACTATTGCCACTACTTCAATTATTTGCTATTAGTGGCCTTTTTTCTATCTTCTCTCTCCATTTCTTCCCAGTACATCAAATGCTGTTCTGAGGTCAGTGCATCTATGTACATTGGAAGAGCATTAATATCTATAGGGCAGCCCAGGTTCTGGGAACCTGGCCACATCATCTTACGTATACTGTATCTATTCATCCTCAGAATAGACCTCCTTAGCAGCTATTATTACTCCATATGACAATGGGGAAACTGAGCCTGGGAGCTTGAGGAACTTGTCAGAAGACACACAGCTAGGAAGTGGCAGAGAGCAAGTGTCTGACTCCAAAGTCCACGCTCTTTCTACTTTTCATAATGGTTGCATCCCAGCTCTAAAATTTGTTTATTTCTTCTTTCACATACTCCGTCTTTTCAGAAAGGATTTGATAGAGATGACACATTTGTTATTGTTCCTAAGCTCTGGCTTCTGCCTCCATACTGCTTAAGCCCAGGAGATTGAGGAGGATGGCGTGGGCTGGAGGTGGACTGTGCGAGAAAGCTCTTCCTGTCACCAGAACCCTTGCTTGTCACCAAGTGGCCCACTTGCAACAGACTCCAGGATGTCCCAGCCAGGGGAGTGTTGGAGTTGTTTGTGATCGGGTGATCCCAGGCTTAGCTTGGTGAGTGTAGTTTGTTTGGTAACTACTATAATAGTAGGCGGTCTTTGATCTAGAGCTTTCATTAGTCCTTTTGTGATTCTTTTCTTTGGCAAATTATTTTTTCTTTTGAACTCTTTTGAAAAATGTCATATATATCCTTATTCAATCTATTTTTGTGGTGAAAAACTCCATGACTTTTTAAGAAGAGAAGAGGATGTTAACTAACATCTGCAGAATGGCACTTTAAATGCTGTTTTTTAATATTCACAAATGCTAGTGAGATAGATCTCATTATCCTTTTTTGATAAAATAGATGAAGGAATCTTGGCAGAAGAAAATTATGTAATTTACCTAACAGGGGCTATAAGATTTATTTTTTTTCTACCTATGAACTCATTCTACTATTACATATGCAAATATTGAGATAGATTGGACTGCAATTCTGACACTCATGGCCTTTAAGCAAAAATAACTCATAGTATAGTTTTAGAATTTGAGGCTGCGGAGGAAAATGGCAATATTTCAGCCAAGTAGAGAAGGGCAGCCCAGCTTCCTGGGCTTTAGGGGGGTGCTCTGAGCATTGGTATGTTATTGATACATCTATCTGTGACTTATTTTTTGTAATTTGAAACCTGTTTGTAAAGGAATATCAAGACATTGGTATTCCTCGCCAATATTAACATTACCAAGTCACCTTACTGTATAAACATCTGTCTAAAATGTTTAAATATTGATTTTATCGAGGGGCAACATGGGGGTTAACAAAGGGCTTTGTTAGTTCCTTTTCTGATTTTGACTGATACAATTCTATTGCTAAATTTCCACTGAGATTGTACATTATCCACACTATCTCACTTACCTAGAATGTGATTTTCCAAAAGTTGCTTGTACTTAGGAAGAATCAAGTCAGTCTCTGATGGTATTTAAGGGGCTGCAGAAGTAAACTAGTTCCTCCAGTGTCGGGAAACTGTGAGTCATCTCAACTCTCATGCTTTCTGACTCTGAATCAAGAAGGGCAATGTTCACATAGAAACCGTATAATTTGTCACGTTAAGAACAGACTGATCTTGTTCTAATGCTCCTGCAGAGCTCCAGATCTCCTTACATAAGGAGAAATTTTCAGAAATTAATAAAATGAAGTTCAGCCTTAAGGAATGTGACTAATACATCTGAGATAAGTGACTCAAACACTAGAAGAGGGAGATACTTGCAGTTTTAGCACTAAACAATTTTAAGTTACTTGAGATTTTTTTAAATCATCAGAACTCATTGTTTTCATATTTGAAACATGAGAAAATGTCTTCACTTTGCAGATTTAAAAGAAATTCATTGGATAGAAATAGACCAAAAATTTAATCCTTAGAAGATAATATTTTAGTAGTATTATCTCATAAAGAGTAAATACTTGATGCAATTATTTGCATATTGACCTCAATGCATGATTTTAAACCCATGATAATTTCCCAAGATAATTTTCTAATGTCCACATTTCCCTGAGTGCTTAGTGCCACTCCCAGACATATCTGTGTGTCATTAGGTCTGCAGGCCTGTGGGGACAAGTGTGTGCACAAGTGCATGCATAGGTAATAGGAGCCCTTCAGGGTTGTCAGATGTGCTGAACATTGGAAACGGGAAATATTCTGTTTGATGACCTTTGCCAAATTGCAAAGTGCAAACTGGCAAAGTGAGTTTCATCACTCAGAATTTCAGTTTTGGAGATGGCAGAGATACATAATTATCTAGTTAAATCCCTCATCAAATCAAGAAATAAAATGAGGTGTCCGGGCTGTGACTCATGCCTGTAATCCCACCAGTTTGGGAGACCAAGGCAGGCTGATCACCTGAGGTCAGGAGTTTGAGACCAGCCTGACCAACATGGTGAAACCCTGTCTCTACTAAAAATACAAAAATTAGCTGGGTGTGGTGGCCTGTGCCTGTAGTTGGGAGCTACTTGAGAGGCTGAGACAGGAGAATTGCTTGAACCTGGGAGGTGGAGGTTGCAGTGAGCCGAGATCACGCTATTGCACTCCGGCCTGGGTGAAATGACAGAGCAAGACTCTGTCTCAAAAAAAAAAAAAAAAAAAAAAGAAGTGAAATTGAAATGAGGGTTTTCTTATGGAATACATCTATCTTTTCATAATTACACACTCAAGACATTTCTATCCCTCCACAGTGTGTTCATTACTCATTGCTCAGTACATGATTTCTAACTAAATATTTGTAAATGACTGAATAGATGAATGAATGAATGAATGGGTGAGTAAATGATAGAATGAGTCTCAGAGAGATCGTGCAAGTATGTGCCAGGAAAAGAAACCCAGGTGTTTCTTATTTTTCTGTTTTCTAGTCCCTGTGAGTTCTCTTTAGGTGAGCTAATAAACTCATTATCTTTTAATCCTTAAACCCTGTTTCTGGACACACCACCTATTCTTAGCTGAGCTAGGCCCCTTTCTTCCCCTATTTTCACCTCTTCCCCAAAGCTTTGCTGGGTAACTGGAAAAAAGGTGATTTCTTCCTCAACCACTCCTTGTCTGAACATGCAGCAATGCATGAGTCACTCTTCATTCCTAAGACACAATAGAGCTTTCCATGGCTTGTATTTGCTATAAATATTTACTGCCCTGATCTCTGATTTACTTAATATCAACACAATTGTCTGGGTAGCCTTAGACCTTTGGTATATATACTGGTCTTACTATTTGTCTGAGATCCCAAACTACATTACGGTTCTAAATTTGGTAAATATGGAATCCATTCCAATTGAAGTTACTGGCAAAATTGAAAACACTATGTCATTTTTTTTCTGGAATAATAGGTATTGTTCTAGAGAATGTCTCTCTGTCTGTCTACTTAAACTCAAATCCATCTAAAAATCTTATGGGATAGTAGATGTTATTCACATTTTTTTTACCAGATGAGGAAGCTGAGACTTCAAGAAATGAAATGACTTTTAGAAAGTACTAAAGCCAGTATTTAAATTGAGATTGGTCTGTCTCTTCAGGCCAGTTTGTGCCCACCACATTACACACTCCCCTCTTCCCATCCCATAATCATGGAGGGCATTTAAAGGCATCAGAACCATTAGGTACAGACTACCGTGTCTAACAGGGCAGAAAATTTCTGCTCCATTACGCCTTCCAGCCTTTAGGTTCTGAGAAGGCATAGTGAACATGAGAAGACAATGATAGAGAAAGCTGTTCTTTGGCTATGTCTATCAGACCAGTTTATGGTGTCACCAAACGAAGAATAAAGGGAAATGACTTCTTCATATTTCTCAGAATCAAGGTTTATTAATTTCCCCTCCACAGCTATGAGGATGCTTTTTTTTTTCTTAATTCAGCCCAGAATATCAGGTTGAGGTGGAAAGTTCAGGGCCGTTGGTCAGTTGTATCTTAAAGGCATCCACCTATTTTTTCGACACCTCCATTCTTTTTCGAGTGGAAGCAAAAGACATGTAACTCCTGCAGGTAAAACTGTGACCAACACCATAAAACTGTGATCAACAAACATTTATTAAACTATACTATGAGGAAAACATGAAATATTAGAATAAAAGGTAGACAGTGATAATTAGTTTAAAGGACATGCAGAGATGGAGGTTTAGAAGAGACAGGAATTACAGTTGGGGAAGAGAACATGAAAGGCTTCCTGGAGAGCATGGTGTTTGCACTGGATCTTGGTAGTTTGGGAAAGGAAAGCAATCTAAGTGGAAGTTAGTATGAATGGAAGGAGTGGGGACCAGGTTACAGAAAGGAAATAGTAAGTGAGCTAGTTTGAATGGAAAACTTTTGAAGAAAAGAAGTGGAGAATAAGGCAAGAGAGGGTTAAGCTCCTTCTGGAAGATAGGGACCACATGTCTGACAAGATTGTTTTATGAGGGCTCGGTATATTCTTGGGGGCAAGCTCAATCTCACAAACCACAAGAGTAGATCAATATGCCAGAAAAATACATGCAGGACTTGGTGGTAATGGTAGTGGTAGTGGTGACAGTGGTGAAGGTGGTGGTGATATCACAGAAGTGATGCAGAGTGTGATGATCTGGTGACAGGGATGATAGAAGGGGAAGAGGATACTCAGCAGGAAAAGCAGGTTATTTGAAAGGAAATGGTAAACTCGCTTTTTTTTTTTTCGAGACAGAGTTTTGCTCTTGTTGCCCATGCTGGAGTGCAATGGCGCAATCTCAGCTCACTGCAACCTCTGCCTCCCAGGTTCGAGTAATTCTCCTGCCTCAGCCTCCCAAGTAGCTGGGATTACAGGCATGTGCCACCATGCCTGGCTAATTTTGTATTTTTAGTAGAGACGGGGTTTCTCCATGTTGGTCAGGCTGGTCTCAAACTCTGACCTCAGGTGATCTGCCCACCTCAGCCTCCCAAAGTGCTGTGATTACAGGTGTGAGCCACTGCACCTGGTCGGAAAACTCACTTTTTAAAAAATAACATTACATCATTGCTGAAAATCTATCCTAAGTCTACATAAGGAATGCAGCATCAACTATGGTATTAGGTATAAGGAGGGAAACCATGAAATTGCTAATTCAGTAGATTTCATAGTTAGCTAAGCTAATTAAAGAAGGCACTCTATTTAATTATTTAAATGATTAAATTAAATCACTCAATTTAATGAAGGTGATTAGGTCTTTTTCAAACAAAAGAAAACCCAGTTAAAAATAACTGAAATTGGTAACAAGAAAATAACCTAACATATATAATTAACCTGTAGAACTTAGCAT
This sequence comes from Homo sapiens, assembly GCF_000001405.40. NCBI lineage: Eukaryota > Metazoa > Chordata > Mammalia > Primates > Hominidae > Homo > Homo sapiens. The sequence continues at coordinate 73,432,090 of NC_000013.11, forward strand.
CATAGGATTGAATTAATGATAGTATTTATTAAAGTAGAACTGTAAGATTATAAAAATACTTGGCACTTACATGAATAATCAATGTTATTAGTATCTAATATCCCCAGAGATAAATATCATTATCATTTGTTAATTTCACTTAAGTGCTGAAATATACATTCTATGGCTTGCCCAATGAATATGATACTTTTATATTTTATAGTCTTGAGTTAATTAGGAGTCACATAAATTCTGCAGTACAACATCATTGAAATAAATGGAATCAACATGACGACTAATCAGTGTTTTTGCTGCCAAGATGAGTGTTTTTTTTTTCAAAAATCCTCATTAATATTATATTAAGCAGGATTTCAGTGATCTTATGATAGCTTCCATTACTTCCCTAGGGAAACTGTTCTGTAAAATAACACTTGTTACTGTCTAACAACTTTTTTCTTTCTTTTTTTTTTTTTTTGAGACGGAGTCTCGCTCTGTCACCCAAGCTGGAGTGCAGTGGCGGGATCTCGGCTCACTGCAGCCTCTCCCTCCTGGGCTTAAGCAATTCTCCTGCCTCAGCCTCCCAAGTACTGGGATTACAGGCACGTGACACCGTGCCCAGCTAATTTTTGTATTTTTAGTAGAGACAGGGTTTCACCATGTTGCCCAGGCTGGACTTGAACTCCTGACCTCAGGTGATCCACTTGCCTCGGCCTCTCAAAGTGCTGGGATTACAGGCGTGAGTCACCGTGCCCTGCTCCAACTTTTCGTTGCTTGTAGTCTTCTTCTTTCTCTCTCTATGCATCAACCATATCTCACTACCAAATACACATTTTCAGAAAATGCAAAATTCTCATCCAAGTCTTAGATACATTTCCTCCTCCTAATAGTTGCGTCCCATATTTTGGAGTCCATTTCTCCTGCACCTTCTTACGTTTATGTATTAGTTTGACAAGTATTTTTGGAACAGCTACTTACCACACTGGCAGGTAGTTTGAAATGGCAGAGAGGACAATGGCTTTGGAATCTGATAAATTAAGGTTTGAACCCTGGCTATGGTACGTAACAGCTAGTGACCTTGAGCAAGTTGTTTCACCACCTTGAGCCTCAGCCATTATCTGTAAAAGGGATAGAAGGATGAAAATGCTTCCCTAGCAGGATCTTTATGAGGATGTGAGAGAATGTCTAGTATCTGGAACATGGCGGGCACTCACTCTGTGGCAAGTGCACTGGGCTACTTTAGTTTTGCACTACTGTGTCGTAGGAAAGAACACAGAGCAAAATATCTTTTAGCTCTTCCCCATTTTTGATGATTCTCCTTGTTTTCTATCTGTTTTACTTCTGGAATCTCATTTCATGCCTAACTAAACTCCAACTTTCCTTGGTTCCTCCTACCACTCCTGCCTATTTTCCAGAATGTTGTGTACTTGCATTGACCAACTAGGCTACATGGAGGACCATCAGTGAGTCTTCGGTGAGTTCAACATGATGCAGACTGTATTTTCTTGTCTTTTTCCCTCCAGGCTTAAAGGATATCATGACAGGAAAACAAAAACCTTATTTTATGCAATACTTTTGCTTATCTGATTTATAGGAAAGGAACTGTTTCATAAGAAGGGGCTTGCTTATAAGGGTACTAAAAGGCATGAATAGTATTTCTGGAATAGTAGAGACAATTTTTATCTGTTTGCTTTGTTGCTGACCACAAAACAGATAAAATATTATGAAACTACAACATTACATAAAATTTACCTGCTTGTTTTTCTCATTGCTAGCTTATATTTTTAGTACTTGGCTGTTGCTTTAGCCTTGGAAATATGTCAAATAGGTACTGTACCCAGATTTGAAAATGGGAGAAAAGGAGAGAATCTCCTTCTCCAGAACAGAGGAGGAGGGGGAGGAGAAGAGGGAGGGAGAGAGAGAAAGTGAAAGAAAGAGAGAGAGGACTCAGGTCATCAGGGAGCTAAGAATCAGCGAATCCACACATTTTACTGAGAAGTCAGAGTTTGCAAAGCACAGGGCATGGCACAGGAACTGAAATGAGCTTGATATCCAATGCCTGGTGTAGGACATTTACTCAATACATATCTGGTGACTGGCTAACAGCAGCTACTTGTTCTCTTCCGGGCCTCTGTATAGAAGAGACCCTTTCCTCCTGTTCCCTTTATTCTAAACTTATAGGGCAAGAACATCTACCTTGTTGGAACTATTGGGAAGAAATCTTCTCATTCTTTCACACATCCCTTTCTCCTGACTCCACCCATTTGCCCTTAAAGTAACAGGAACAATTTGCTGAGATAAGGCAGAGATAATGCACATCTTAGCATGTCCAGTTTATATATTCTGGGCTCTCTCTTTTTCAGCCAAGCCTACCTGGAGGGTTGGGCATATACTTATCCCCTCTTGTTCCTCCCATGTAAGGCACATCTTGGTCAGGGCCCAGCACCTACTACCTAAAGACAGGTTGGGGCCCATCTGAGCCTTGGGCCTTGATGGGCTCACTCCTGGCTGCAAACTTGGCCATGCTGCTTACAGATTCTCCATACAAGGCATTCTAGGTCTAGACTGGAAAAAAACTTGAAGGAAGCCCCTTTTTGATGAAGAGCCAAATCTTATTTTTCAGTCCAGGTTTACAACTAAAGTATAAGATATTTGGATTTCTATTCGGCTTTTGAAGTTTTTGTTCAATAGGTGTTACTCTTAGAGGGGGTTGGGGAATAAAGTGTGGGTAATGCCCTCTTTGCAAAATATATACCTTCAGAACTCTTGATCCCATAGTGAATTCACTAGGAAAGCTTGAAATCCAGGCACAAGGGCTAGCTTGCATAAAAACAACAACAGCAACAACAAAAGCACTTGGAGAGATCAAGGTTCAGCAGAGGTAGGAGGTCTGGGTGCTTATTAAAACACACTGTTGGACTCTTAAATGTAAAATTTCAATTTTATGAGGTTGTTTATTGAACACGATTATATACATGCATGACATTCGAAGTACGCTCTAGTTATACGAGGCTTGTTTAGATATATGGCAGCTCAGTGCTCCTCTACTCTCCTCTTTCTCTCCAATGGAAGCCACTTTTCAACTCATATAACTGGTTCTTTTGTTTTTTTGCCTCCAAATGACCAAAGAGCATACTTACTTCACTACTTCCTGGCTTTGAAGTTGTAGATATCGCTTATTTCTTTAGCCCTTATTTATTGACTTCCCATTTTTGAGAATGAGGATTTAGGTCTCTTTCACACCCCATCTTCCAGCATACAACCTCCCCACACCCCACTCTCCAAATATATTGTAATGTTGGTAAATTCAATCTTCAGGATTTTATCACTGTGATAGTGAAAACATGATTGGTAGCTGAGTTCTACAGTATAATGTAATTGATGTAATTGTTTCTTTTCTGTATTACTTTTTTGTATGTGTGGAGTCAATAATTGTCATTAGCTCAACGCCAAACTTATGCCTTCAGCACATCAATTATCCTATCAGTTTCTCTTTTTGAGGATGTCTTTCCTGGAGGTGGTTGACCTCTCCAGTATGAAGGAAGCCCCCTCATTTCTGGTGTTCCACTGTCATTATAATCCTCATCCCTCTTCACTATAAGCCCAGTGATTCTTTTTGCTGCTCTCATGTCGGATCTCCTCCTTCCTGGACATGGTGCCATCCTTGTTCTTCACATGAGGCACATCCTCTGTGAGATTCCCGCTTAGAACACTCAGTCTGGAGGAAGCTCAATTGCTCAGAATCTCAAGAAGGAAAAAGACTGATTTTTAAAATATGCTTTGGTTTTGATGTCTGAACAGGAGTAGAAAGAGACCAAAAGCTAACGGCACTCCAACCAGGCTGGAGTAAGAAAAGGATTTCTTTAGAAAAAAATCTGTTGTCTTGGAGATTAGGCCGGGCTAAACCTACCACCCATGTAAGCCTAAAGGAGGTACACTGCTTTTAAAGAAGCTTCATTGTCTGTCACTACATCAGAGAGTTTGACTGGTATCCAAGGAAATCTCATACAGGAGGGGAGGTAAGTTCTCAGATGATAAACGGAAATGATTTCCCCTGAGAGGATCTTATCCAGAGAACTATTCAGAGCCACTCTTTTGTTATTATTTTTTATTTGCATAAATTTAGGGGTACAGGTGTAGTTTTGATACATGAATACAGTGCATAGTGGTGAAGTCTGGGCTTTTAGTACAACCATTACCTGAATAGTGTACATTGTACCTGTTAAGTAATTTCCCATCCCTCACCCCCTCCCTCTCTCCCACCTTTCCAAATCTTCAGTGTCTATTATTCCACACTCTATGTCCATGTGTACACTTTATTTAGCTCCCACTCATAAGTGAGAACATTCAGTATTTGACATTTTGTTTCCGAGTTGTTTCACTTAGGATAATGGGCCTCTAGTTCCATCCATGTTGCCGCAACAGGCATAATTTCATTCCTTTTATGGCTGAGTCATAGTCCATCATATACATATACCACATTTTCTTACCAAATCACCTGTTAATAGACACTTAGGTTGATTCCATATCTTTGCTATTGTGAAGAGTACAGAGCCACTTTTTCAAAGCTTTGTTTGGAGTAATCACCCCTTCAACTCTGGGATGCTTATACCAAGTGGTTACATTTGAGGGAAGACTGGGATGATCAGGGGAGAACACACTAAGTATTATTAACACAGGAAAGCTTATAGGTGACAATTATTTTAGCTGACCAAACGAGTATGTCATATATGCAGAGAAAGCAAGTATGTTGTATACCCATGCCCAGGAAATTCATTGAGTTACAGAACTCTCAGAAAGAACATAGGGCAGATGAGACACAGCTATGGGGAAGCAGGGAGGACAGCAATATTTTGTTGAAACTATCTCCTGGAATTTCTCACTTTTCCCATAAAGGTGGAACCATTAAACAAACACTAAAAGCACTGGAGAGAACCCTACACTTTTCCTTCCATGGTCACTCATGACTCCTTCCTAAGGGAGGGATGACTTGTCCTTGTAAGAATGCATAGGCAGCATGTCTCCAAACCCTTCGAGTTGTCTTACTAAATAAGTGCAGCTTTTTATATGTTAGTCGTACCTTAATAAATTGTTTTTTTTAAACAAAAAAGTTTGCATATACAGCTCAGCTACTTCTGGAAGACCTGTTTTCTAGACAAGCCTCCCCAGAAGGCAAATGTGTCCTCCCCTAACACTTGCCCCTGACTTGATAAGGCTTCCTGGGGCAGGGTCTTGGGTCTGGAGACCTGTCTCCCTCTTTCCTTTTTTTTTTTTTTTTTGTAAGAGACAGGGTCTCACTGTTGTGCAGGCTGGCCTTAAACTCCTGGGCTCAAGCAATCCTCCTGCCCCAGCCTCCTGAGTAGGTGGGATTACAGGTACATATCACTGCACCTGGCTGTCCTCTTTCTTGAGTCTTGACATAAGAGAGGCTCACCAGGATTTGCTGGGCTGCAGACTGAGCAACTGTCTGATTTACAGACTCTCTCCTTAGCCAAGTCCCAAGGTCTAGATTGGGAGAAAGTTGAAGAAGCTTTGTTTTTATTGCAGACCCAAATCATATTCTTCAACCCTACTTTGGAGAGAAGAAAGCTTATATTTTAATCACTATCTGACTTTTTTGTCCATTACTCAAAGGGTTCAAAATCTGTGGGCACAAGAGGTGAGTAAGACTCCCACATCATGGAACATAGTCTAGCAGAGTTTAAGGCATTAATGTTGTGGTGGAAGAAATGGAAAATAGAAACAAAAATCACTTTTATAATATGGGTAGGAAATTCTTAAGTAAGAATGAAGAAAAATGGCTCAATTTCTTTCTATTCAACTTTGTTGAATTTATTGGGGTTGCGGTAGATTTAAATCCAGTTTTTCTTTTCCTTTATAATTTTTGGAAACCTGGAGACATTCCTACCCAGCAGTAATGTCATGAGTTACATTTTTACTAAGAATTTTAGAATTTTTAGATAAAACAAGCTGGAAGCTATTTGTTGAGCAACAATATTTTCAAGACAGTGTTAGACCCTGTAAGGAAATAAACATGTATGTAATAAAGACATTGCAATTTTTTCCATTTTGGGGTGGGGAACAGTGTCTCACTATGGTTGCCCAGGCTGACCTTGAACTCCTGGGGTCAAACTATCTTCTTGCCTCCGCATCCAAAAGTGCTGGGATTACAGAGATGAGCCTCTGTATCCCACAAGACATTGCATTTTTATCTACATGGCGAGCCTATTATTTGTTGAAAATTAGACATATTCCTATAATACAAGGAAGATATTATTTCAAAAGAGGTACATGGAGAGTTGAACAGACCTAACTAAAATAATAATAGATACCATTTATCGAATACTTACAGTGTGCTAGGCATTGTGTTATGCAGTGAATGAATTCACTCACTTAGTCCTCATAATCATCTGATGAGCTAGGTACTAGGGCTGTTAGTATTTTAAAGATGAGCAAAATAAGGCCAAGAGAGTTCAAATAAGTCAACCATGTTCATATAGCTGCTAAGTGGCAGAATCAAGAGGGACCCAGGCAGCTTAGCCCCAGAGCTACCACAGTTATGAAGGAGCTGACAACCAAAAGCCTTTATTTTCCCCAGAGATGAGTCTCTAGTTATAGAGCTCCCCTCCAAGTTAATATAAGAGTTACCTTTTTTGAGATGAAGTCTTGCTCTGTCACCAAGCTGGAGTGTAGTGACATGATCTCAACTCACTGCAACCTCTGCCTCCCAGGTTCAAGCAATTCTCCTGCCTCAGCCTCCCAAGTAGCTGGGACTACAGGTGCGCGCCAACATGCCCAGCTAATTTTTGTATTTTTAGTAGAGATGGGGTTTCACCATGTTGGCCAGGATGGTCTTGATCGCTTGACTTCATGATCCACCTGCCTCAGCCTTCCAAAGTGCTGGGATTACAGGTGTGAGCCACTGCACCTGGCCAAGAATTACCTTTTAAGAGTTGAGATTTTCCAAGCAATTTTACACTACTATATCTGGGTTATTCTCACTAAAAATAGCTATTTATGGCCGGGCACAGTGGCTCATGCCTGTAATCCCAGCTACTCGGGAGGCTATGGCAGGAGAATCGCTTGAGCCTGGGAGATGGAGGTTGTAGTGAGCTGAGATCGTGTCACTGCACTCCAGCCTGGCAGACAGAGCAAGACTCTGTCAAAAAAAAAAGGTATTTATGAAATCTTTATCTGAATTTAGAGAGTTTAGCCTGCCATCATGATTAAAAACTCAGAATAGCATTGCAAATAAACACACATGAAATATATGCATGTGTGTATATATGTATTATATTATATGTTATATGTATAGTTATACATATAATATATTACATTATACATATAATGTGTATGCACATCTTCACCTTTGAAAATCCCAAATGACTGAATTAATTATACCATATATTTTCTTCTTATTGCTGCTGTAACAAATTACCACAAACATAGTGGCTTAAAAAAACATCAATTTCTCTTACAGTTCTGAAGGTCACATTTTGAAATGGCTTTCATTGGGCTGAAATGAAGGTGTAGGCATGGCTGCATGACTTTCTGAAGGCCCTGTGGGAGAATCCATTTTCACGCCTTTCCCAGCTTCTAGAAGCTGATTGCATTCTTTGGCCCACGGGTCCCTTCCATCTTTGAAGCCAGCAATTGCTGTCAAATCTTTTTCCTCATGCTGTCTCCCTGGATCTGACTCTTTTGCTTCTCTGTCTCCCATTTAAAGCCCACTCAAATAATCCAGGATAATCTCAATATTTTAAAGTCAGCTGATAAGCAACCTGAACTCCACCTGAACTAACCATGTACTATTGCATATTTCTGGGGATTAGAACATGAACATTATTCTACCACCACAAACAGGAACTTTTCCTGCCCCTGAAATGTACTCGTTTTTGGAAAAAGCATGATGGTCTTTAACTTTACACAATGAAATGACCAATTTTACCATTTAGGACAGAAAGTCAAGGATAATTATATTGGTCCATTCTTGCAATGCTATAAAGAAATACCTGAGACTGGGTAATAAAGAAAAGAGGTTTAATTGGTTCACAAAAGAGGTTTAAGAGTTCTGCAAGCTGTATAGGAAGCATTGAGACAACCAGGTTGCGGGGGGACTCTGGAGAAACTCCAACCAGCCTGCCCACTGAGGTAGAGCCTCAGGAAGTTCACTCTCTACACGGGGGAGGAGCCTGGCCTCTCCTCTTCCTATGCAGAACCTGGGATTCAAATGGCAGGTGGGAAGCACTCTAACAGGGGACCCTGGCCTTGCAGAAGAAACCTGTTTCCCCCTTTGTTTCCTTTTACCCAATAAAACCCTGCTTTACTCACCCTTTAAACTGTCTGTGAGCCTAAATTTCTGTGGCCATGGGAAGGACAAGAACCCTGTCCTTGACTGAACTAAGGAAAAGTCCTGCAACATTTTTGGCGCCCAACGTGGGGCTCAAGAAGCTGTGAGTGAAATGGGCATTCAAAACCTCTCACTGTTGCTCCTAAGCATTTTCATCCTTGGACTTCTGAGGCTGGGGGAGACATGCCCCCAAACCCCATCACTCCTGGGAGTTAGGGGAAATGTCCTTTCCTTCCTTTTTTGATAAGGACAGGCAAGTAGGGGCTCCTTGCCACCCCTCCCCTCCAAGCGAGGGGTGGAACACATGGCCCAAGGGTCCTGTACAGTCAGCTGACTGGTTCCCAGCCACAAGCTGCCACAGCCTTCTCCTTCCTTGGCCAAGGGGTTCAGCTTTATTGGGCAGTAACTAAACTTTTCTCCTGATGGAGGAACCACTTGCCTAAGAATAAGAGGTTCTTCCCTAGGCATTTTTAAAGTGTTCTTTTTTCTTTTCCCTTCTCTACCCCATCAGCAGTTAATCTTTAAAGTTTTTTTCCCCTTTAAAAGACGTTCGATATCTGCCTGTTCTCCTAGCCCTGTCTCTTAAAAAACCCCATCTGGGGACTGGGTTTTCTTTTGCCTGTGTGTGTTTGTACTGTATGTGATGTCTGTAAAAAGAGTTCTAATTAACTTGGCCTAAAGAAAGAGAGGCACTTGGATCTAATATTTTTTAAAGGGAAGTTAAAAGCGGTGGAACCTTTCAGTTCACATGACTTTAATCTTTAAGAAATAAAAATAGCCTTAAAGACTATTGGTAAAATCCAGGTCAGATGCAAGGTTTGCTAACTGTCTTGAGGTTACAAACTGTCCTTTGGGTTTTGAGAACTATTTAACTTGCCAGCTTCACAGTTGGTAAGGCCTGGGGACATATGAAATTGGAACCATGCCCTTAACTAAGAACGCAAAGCTTGGCTGCAATTAGCACAAAATTAAAGCAACTTACCAAGTTTTACCTTAAAGTTAAAAATTGCTAGGAGTTAATTGAAACTACTAGAAATAGATTTACACAGAAGATGTGTAACAACAGTAAAATGTGATGTTTTTAGTAAAAGGTTATAAGAAGGCATGGAAATGTAAACTTTTGTTTAGGGTCAAAGGATTGTTTTAAATTAGATAGGAAAAAGCTGAAGGTTCAAAGAAATAATAGAAGCATTGTTGGGATAATCTTGCAGAAGAGGTTCTCTGTGTGAACATATTGACTAAATTAAAAAAGGATATTATATGGTTTTTCTGTAAATTGAGCATTGAAATAAAAGCATAACAAAGTTTTCCTAGGGTGCTAATATGATCTTTGGCAAAATTTGTAAAGGGTTATAAAAGCTTTATGCTTCTTTAAGATTTTTGAGTCATCATTTTGGCAAAATAAATAATTTATGGCAACCTGGAATTCTATTTCATAACTTTAAGTGTTTTAAACCTCGAACATTTAATGGCCTTCCCCAAATCAAATTTCAGTTTCAAAATTGTCTTTCCTGACACCTGGCTTTTCGGATAGTCCAGAGGGCCCCTGGAATGTCCAGAAAAGAGAGGTAAACAGGATTATTTGACTTGTTTAGGTACATGGAATTGCCCAAATGATGTTCAATCTTCTTTAGGTTATATCTTGGTAAACAATGCTAATATATGTTCCAAAGTTGTATGAGATTTCTAAAATTCAAATGTCTGAGTATATACTACCTATTATAATTAAGGTTGTTATGTTAAGTTATTGTGAACTACAGAGATAACCAAACTTCTTTGTCAGTCATGTTTCTTAACTGTAACTACCCTGGACATTTTGCTATTCACACACAATTATTTTGTTTTAATCCTTTTCAAAGATGGTTTATAATGAGCTATGGAAGTTTAACAGGTGCTTTCAAATACAGGCTTCTGATAACTTTAGAGATTGTACATTGGAATAAAGGAAAATGTACAGGACTCATGAAGAGCTGAAATGCCCTTGAATATCAAGCAAAACCAGAGTTTACTAAATGGACTGAATTCAGAAAGTTGAAGGAACTTTTTGACTTTCGCTTGGAATGTTGATGATTCTTGTTTTGTTTTTCAGAGTCAAGGAAACTTATTTCAACTATTTATGGTCTTTAATAATTAACTAAGATATGGCCGGGCACGGTGGCTCATGCCTGTAATCCCAGCACTTTGGGAGGCTGAGGTGGGAGGATCATGAGGTCAGGAGATTGATACCATCCTGGCTAACACAGTGAAACCCCGTCTCTACTAAAAAATACAAAAAATTAGCCGGGCGTGGTAGCAGGTGCCTGTAGTTCCAGCTACTCAGGAGGCTGAGGCAGGAGAATTGTGTGAACCTGGGAGGCAGAGCTTGCAGTGAGCCAAGATTGAGCCACTGCATTCCAGCCTGGGCAACAGAGCAAGACTCCATCTCAAAAAAAAAAAAAAAAATTAAGATTTGGAGCATGTTTGTTTCCCTCTGCTTGATTCCTCTAGAATTTGGAAACTATCTGTGAGTATTCTAACCTGTGGCAATATAGTTGTTTGCATCAGTGCAATAAGATTCCATTTTTCTTTGCAACAGGACACAATTAGATAAAATGGTTATTTTACCAAGGCTTTGACTGGAAGAGTATGCTTCCCTTTAAGGAGTCAAGCTGAACTTACAGATCTGATAAAAGCCCCATGGGAGACTGGCCTCATACCTTTGTCTATACAGTCCCTGTACAGGGTTCCTGACCTGTGGTCAGCAAAGAATGTCACTTTTGGCAGGGCTTGGTGGCTCACACCTGTAATCCCAGCACTTTGGGAGGCTGAGGTGGGTGGATCATGAGGTCAGGAAATCAAGACCATCCTGGCCAACATGGTGAAACCCCATCTCCACTAGAAAAACAAAAATTAGCTGGGCATGGTGGTGTGTGCCTGTAGTCCCAGCTACTTGGGAGGCTGAGGCAGGAGAATCACTTGAACCCGGGAGGCGGAGGTTGCAGCCACTGAACTCCAGCTTGGAGATGGAGTGAGACTCCATCTCAAAAAAAAAAAATGTCGTCACTTTCTAACAGGTTAGGAGCTCCAGGTTTATCTTGGGACCTTAAGAGGAGAGGATCACCCAACTCATAGGTTTTTAAGGATGCAAACCCATGTCTGGGTTTGGTTTTAAAAGGTCTTATCTGAGATTCCTTGTGGAACAAACTTCCATCAAAGCCAGTCCAAAAGGCCTTCGTAGAAATAACCATTCTTGCTGCACTTTATGCAAATAATCAGGCCAAATATAAAACTACAGTCTATTTTGCAAACAACTCAGTGCTATCATAATTTGTTGTTGTTGTTGTTGTTGTTGTTAACAAAAATGAGGACTGGAAAGAGAAAAATTGTGTTCCAAAACTTATCATACATTGGTCATTAAATTCTAAACTCGTTAGTTTTTAAGTTTTTGCCTGCATTTTAGACTAACCCTACTTGTTCCTGTGAACCCACTAGAAATTTCTGGCTACAGCTCAGAAAGAACAAAAGGGATGGGTAATGTAGACATCTGAATCGCTATTCTAGTTCTGACCAATTATCCTGCAAATCCTGCCAAGTGATGGGGAAAAAATAGGATGCCCACCACTTGGAGGTTTCCTTTTGGGAAAGTAAAACCAAGAGAATTAACCAAAGCCAAGCACCATGCACCCAAATCTTAGCAAGCATAACTACAGACACCAGTTATCTGGTTGTGTCACAAGACATCCTTTTGTCTTTCTTGTTGGAGGAGGACCCAGTTCCACAGTTTCACCATAGCATTTGGCTTATAATAAGGAGCCCATGCAACACCCCCCAAACACATTTTTGTCCCAGACTCAATTCCAAGCTTTGGGTCAAAGCCCTAGGAAGGAAAACTGGATCTGAGGGATCCAGAAGCAGGTAATAATGAAAGTTAAAAGGTACAGCGCAGGTGAGCATGGCTGATTCCTGCTAAATTAGCCAAGCCCAAGCTTCCTATTTCATGGATAAAGGCCTTGTTAGTATCCATGGCATAAATGAGGTCTAGGGAACTCCAAGGCTACTGACAGTAGGTGGGAAAGAGACATAGGGGAGAGTGGATAATTCCTACTCTCTAGCCCCCGCTGCTTCATGGGTGCGAGCCGCTTTGATGTCCATGGTGGCACCTGCCAAGGTCGCCGGAACTCAGAAATACGAGGATGGAAGAGGGAAAGAGGACACTCTTCCCTCTCTACCTCAAGTACCCTGGGTATCTGCTAGGAAGAGAAGAGAAGCAGGGATGCCTGCTCCCCGCTTTCTAGATGGCTAGCCATTCACCTTCAGTCTGTACCCTTTTCAAATGCATCCTAAACCCCTGGGACTCCTTTGAAAAAACTCCTTCTTCTCTATCCTGTCTTCACTCATAGTAATTGCGTCTCTCTAGTATGGAACACTCCCCACAAATGCATCCTCCAAACTGGAAAGAGTTAATTTCTCAAATCTTAAACTGGTTGGCTTAGGACTGGGCTCAGGGGAAGGGAACCCAGAAGCCTGACATGCCAGCAAAAGAGTGAAGTTTTTTTTTTAACCAGCTGGGCTCTTGGCCTCCCTCTCCCTGGGCAAACTGGTAAAAGGCCTCAGAATTTCTGAGCTGTCCTTATTCCTCTCCTTGTTTCGTTTTAATACATGTTTTCTAACAACTTAGTTTGTTCTTGCCTTTAGGCCATCACACTCGTCATGCAACCGGAGCCTTTGACGATGGCCCCTTTTGCTGGGAACCCTTAGATAGGACTGTGGGGGAGCTCTGACTGCTGTTTCCCCAAAATGGCGCCCCCTGTCAGCAGGAAGCTGTTAAGATGGGTCTTTGTCCTTATCTTCAGTCTAACAACGGTTAGAAGTACTTCTTTATAGCTGGGAATGAGACAACCAGGTGAAATGTGGACCCTGGAGAAACTCCAACCAGCCTGCCCACTGAAGTGGACCCTCAGGTAGTTGGTACCCTTTGCAGCGGGGAGAAGCTTGGCCCCTCCTCTTCCTGTGTGGAAGCTGGGATTCAAATGGCAGGAGGTAAGTGCTCTAACAGGGGACTCTGGCCTTGCAGAGGATCCCTGTTTCCCCTTTTTTCTCCCTCTTTCACCCAATAAAACCATGCTTTACCCACCCTTTAAACCATTTGCAAGCCTAAATTTTTGTGGCTGTGGGACAGACAGGAACTCTGTCTTTAGCTGAACTAAGGAAAAGTCCTGCAACAGCATGATGCTGGTGTGTCCAGAATTGGTTCCTGCCGGTGGGATCGTGGTCTCACTGACTTCAAGAACGAAGCCGCAGACCTTGGCGGTGAGTGTTATAGCTCTTAAAGATGGCATGGACCCAAAGAGTGAGTGGTAGCAAGGTTTATTGTGAAGTGTGAAAGGACAAAACTTCTACGGCATGGAAGGGGACCCGAGCAGGTTGCTGCTTCTGGCTGGGGTGGCCAACTTTTATTCCCTTATTGTCCCCTTCCATGTTCCATTTCTGTCCTATCACAGTGCCCTTTTTTCAATCCTCCCCGCAATTGGCTACTTTTATAATCCTGCTTATTGGTGCATTTTACAGAGTGCTGATTGGTGTGTTTTACAATCCTCGTGTAAGACAGGAAAGTTCCCCAAATCCCCACACAACCCAAGAAGTCCAGCTGGCCTCACCTCTCACTGACATCTTCTCGGGAGCCCTCAAGAAGCTTTCATGGTGGAAGGCAAAGGGGAAGCCAGCACGTCTTCCACGGCCAGAGCCGGAGCAAGAGAGAGACAGAGGAGATGCCCCACACTATTTAAATGAACAGATCTCATGAGAACTCACTCACTATCACAAGAACATCAGCAAGGGGGAAATCTGCCCCATGAGCCAATCACCTCCCACCAGGCCCCACTTCCAATATTGAAGATTACAATTCAACATGTGATTTGGGCAGGGACACACATCCAAGCCATATCAATAACTCAACTAATCCAAACTGGAGGGGCAAACAAGCAGCTGGGGCCCTACACTGATCCTCAGTTGCCCAACTTCTTTGGGCTTTGATAAAAACAGATGCATTTCTGACATCATATTTTTTTTTAATTAAGATTTTCTAGAGAGACAGGGTCTCATGATATTGTTTAGGCTGGTCTCTAGCTCCTGGCCTCAAGCAATTCTTCCACGTTGGCCTCCCAAAGTGCTGGGATTACAAACGTGAGCCACTGTGCCTGGCCTGTCATCATAATTTAAATGGAGAAAACATTATTTTAAATCACTTGGTCCTGAAAAATCTTAATGGTTTGGTTGATTATATACAAATATATGCTTGTGCATTCTTTGTGCTATTTCTAGTAGTTTTGCTTACAGGTTTATTTCATACAGCTGTTAGTGTCATTTTTCCAGTACTAAAAAATATCCTAACAGCAGTAATACACCACACAATTAAAATGACCACACACACACACACACAGACACGCACAGGCACATATCTCTCTATTGTTAATGGTCTAGTAGTCAGATTCAAAATGGAGAAATTTGTTGTAAAGATATTAACACACAATGGTCTTTATAGATCATTGCTTCCAAAGATGCACTAAAAGTTGAAATTGTGTTCATTTTCTGGGAAAATTAATATGTAACATTCTGAAAGTCTGCATCTTTCATTGGTCCTTCTAATAGGCTCACGGTTTCATTTCCTTTGTTTTGCTCAAGTCAGTAATGCAAATGTTAAGCTCCCTCTATTAGTGCCCCTTAAAAGTAAGTTGATACTTTGGAGCTCTTAAGTGGACCTAAATGGTTTTTCAGGCATTATCATTTCTGTTTTCCACTAGCCAGGGAGACCCTAAGGGTGGGGAGACATGGCTTCTTTGTAACCCTCACAATGCCCGTACAGTCCATTATGGGCTTAGTAGGATTTTTTGTTATTAACTTGGGAATGCCGTAGTTGTCTGTAGAAGTGAACAGGAAATAAACATTGTCTACATGTGGAAATGATGCAAATTTTAAACTCTTATAGTACACTTTTCAAGCCAATTTTAAGTTGAGACTCAGAGTGTAGAAAAGTAAGCCTTCTATAATGTATCTCTGAGCAGGGCCATTTTACTTAAAATTAGTGAAGTTGTCTCCTTGACCTGTTGAAGACTCAATGAAAATAAATTAGAGCTGAGCTTTAAACCATTCATTCCTTCCCACTTCCCATGTTTCTAATTGTTTTGGGTCCTGATTTAGAGAAAGCCAATAAAATATTATGGCTTTCTAAGCTATCAATTAATGGACAATTTAGAAAATGCTTATGGGTTGTCTTCCATCTCCAAACTTGGTGGAGCAAATTGAAATGGATGACTCATGTCTAGGGGATCAAGCATGTTAAATCAATGAACATGTTTGCTTGAATCTCATCTCCTAATGAGCTGAAACAGATAGAACATTTCTCATGCATCCAGATGGAATTATTTTGGAAAGTAAACTAATGCACATGCCCACACAAAATTCCTCTGCTATCTCTAGCCAGATTCTGTTAGCTGTTCACCAAGATGATTTACCAACAATATGAGGTTGGGCTGCTTCTTTATATTATTGGCTCCACAGGAATTCTTCCAGAAGACAATATTTTTTCTATTTTGTTTTGTTCAATTTAATAATATCATGTACAATATTTTCTAGATGCTGTGAGTTTGTATGTGTATCTTGAATGTGGGGGAGGTTTAGGTTTTATGACAGTAAGTGGAATTCACTTATTAAGGTTATTTGACTTAGAATTGATTATTTATGCCAATACTTGCTAATATTTAAAATTATTTCACTGTTCATTGCCCTTACTATGTAAAACTCTCTTGAAAGTCACTAAGAAAAAACATAAACAACTCAAAATAAAAAAGTAAATTGGAATAACTTTTGGAGGTCAGTTTTCCAATGTGTATCAAAAGCCCTAAAAAATATACTTCCCGTGCAGCCAGCAGCAATTATACGTCTAAGATTACATACTAAAAAATTAATTAATAATAGCCATGTATCATATCTTACAAGAAATTTCATTGCAATCCAATTTAATAAAAACAAACAAACAAAATGCATGATAGCCTGTGTCCAACAATAGGGAATTGGTTCGTGTTAGCCTGGGTCTTCCAAGAAACAAAAACTGAGATAAGATTAATAATGCAACAGGGCAAACACCCAAGAGGGGAGACGGAGAGAGATAGCCATCAAAATACCATGCAGTTCTCACCGTGGTGAAAGAGAGAGGGGAGGAAGGAAGTTTGGGTGGAAGAGTCTTAGACAGCAGCGCAGTTTTAACAAAGTTTTGGCAATGTTGATAAGGAGTCCTCCAGCCAAAGGCACCTATCAAAGGGGTCCTGTGTCTCTCGGGAATACCCACTAGAAATGTGGCTTTTGCACAGGTTCAGAGGTGGATTCCAAGAGTAGCAGCTGAAGCCATCAGTCAATAATATTTCATGCAGTAGGAGATTTGAGAGGAGCATTTTTATGGCCACCACACATTAAATAAGTTATAACATGACCACACATGGATGTAACCACTGAAGTCGTCAAGTAGATGAATAATTGTTGACAAGGAAAAATGTTTTTATCTTTATTAATAATTAAAATGTTAATCTACTTAAAATTTAATTAACTTTATACTTTTTACCATATCCACAGAGTAATCACAAATCATTTTTATACCTTTTATAATTTGGGAGAAGAAGGCAATACAGATTAAAAAAAAAACACTAACAGAATTGTCACTGGAAATACAATTCATTTACTTCACATTCACTCTCGTTTTTGCTTTTTTATCCTGGGATGCCTAAGTTATAATTACAAGAAAGAGAAAGAAACTTATAAAATTCAATATTGAACATGAGTCAGTCATCCATGAATATTAGATTAGGGAAACTATTCTAGTCATAGCACAGGGCTCTAACTGGGGCTATTGCTTTAAAATGTTCTAAAAATAAATTTGATTTTATTTCCTGGAAAATAATGGTAGAGATGTGATGAATAAATGCTGAGTAGAAAAACAGATCTTTTGATTATTTAGACTTTCTATTGCTCCATACGGAAGGCAAGGAGAATAATAGGGTGCAATGAGTAATACCAGTAATGAGTAATACCAGTTTACACTATGGTGAGTCTGGGGCCTTATCTCTCCAAACAAGGCCACATAAGATAGGAGATCAGCCCCTCAAGGGTTAAGAGAATAAGAGGAGAATAGAAAAACCCTCCTACTGAAGTAGGATTTTATATATTCTTGCTCTGTTCCATGTTGCCACACATTCACCTGTGAAGCACATCATTCAATGATGATTAATAATTGCTGTGATGATGACCTTTGTGTACATGCCAATTTGCAATTAGCTCCTTCAGACTGAAAAATGGAATTTCAGAGCTGGAAGAAAGCTTGGAGTGTACTATTCCCATGATGCTCCTGTGGTCAAATAAATTTAGATATTGCTTCATAGTATAACCCCTCTCCCCAATTTATAATGATAATTAGTATATTAAAAGACATGAGCAATCCACTGGTGAAACTCAATTTAAGTTTGTTTCATACAGCATTTCTGAAACAAAAAAAAGTGAAACTCTTTTTGCACATAATACCTATTAACCCAGTGTACTCATGAAATGCACTGTGGGAAATGAGAATGTTATCCTATCTTTTTGTTTTCATCTAAAAACTCTGAGGGGTTAAGTTACTTAAGGTCACACAGATGGGTACTGGAAAACTGAATAATAAGACTAAGGTACCTAGCTCACTAATGATATTGACTATACCTCTAGCTTGCTATTATTAAAGTTGGTATGGCTATTTCACCATCTTCTTTAGATAAAGGTAGCTGGACTTAGTAGACCTTTGGAAATTTAACTAAAACTATTCAAAACAGCTACTTCAGAAAGTATCCAAATTATTTTGAAGTATACCAAAAGGACAAGTGGAAAATAAGATTTGTTATCTTTTTCATCCTCCTCGGCTACTGTTTTCCGGATGTGTTTCAGATTATTGGGCTGAAGAACAAGCTTCCTTGAGGAACTGCTTCTGAGTAGCGATTTATTAATTGCTTCTGAAATGATTTTGAGTTATGTTTCTTTTATTGGATTCCATAGTGGAATGTGACAGAGTATGTTGCTTTTTCTTTGATGCCTTCAGAGTTGTTATGGAGGCATCCCTTCGGCCAAGTGGAAAGCAGATTTAAAAGCAAGCATGGAAATGTGTGCTTTGGGGTGATTGTGGATTCTTCATCTCCTGAGGGGGATGAGCAGCTGTACCCTCAGGTTGCCCCTTCTCCTGCCTTGAAGGCTGAACTAATTTCCCAGAAGACTAGAAATAGATTGATGTAAGGGTGTGCAGCCTGGGGGTCAAACCATAGGCTAACTGGCTCTTCCAGTTGTTGATGTTTTTGTTAAAGTTTCCAGTGATCTTGATGCCTCATGTTGAGTAAGAGATCCAAGAATGTAGCCAGGTCGCTGGACTGAAACCAACTATACAAATTCTGAAGCTCTGTTGGGCTCAAACCAAGAAACACAGGTGGTCTTACCGAGCCACTTCAATCTTAGCCCAGCCTTAGAATAGCAGCAAGTACCTGGGTGTGTTTATTATTCTCCAACAAATATTTTTCCATTTATTTCATTTTTAAAACAACCAAAGACAAAGCTTATTCAGCTGTAAAAATGAATTTATGTCTTGATTCAGTTGACTTTTCTTTTGTATTTTTCTCAGTTAAAGGGAAAAGGGAAAGTGGTAGGGAGCAGCAATAATTTATGCAAGGGCATCAATTAGGGAGTCCTTCAGTGTAACCTGACATTTTTTAGGGGTAAGGATCTCCTGACTTGCTCAATTATTTCTGGACTTTTCTACAAAGACCCTCTGAATGTTTGTTTCCACAGAGATCTTGACAAACACTAGAGACCCATCAGCCAGAGTGAATTCCCTTAGTGAAATCACTATTCTCTGCCAAGAATCAAAGGTCATCCCAGTGGAGTGCCGTCTTCGTGTTCAGCAGCTACGGAGTGTCTGGAACAGAGTGAGAACAAAAGTATCCTCATTTGGTGCCCCCTGACTCTTTTGGGAAGAATCCCAACAAAACTGCCACTGGGAATTCAGAAAGCACATTTGGAGACTGGGAAAGGGCCAGGCTAAACAGAAGAGAATGGCAATTTAGAGTCAATAAGATAAAGGAAATAAATGACTCAAAGAAGAGTTTTAAGCCAATATTTACACCCATATTGCCATATTTACAGCTTAAACACTATGCACTGAACATGCAGGAAGTAAGTTTTTATGGGTCTCTTAATGAATGTTAAGTCAATAGTATCCCAAACAATGGGCCCCAGTGAACTTTCTTATGAAGGCCATACAGTGACTTATTCAAATGGAGTCAGAGTCAGGTTCAGCTCGGCAATGTACAGTTTTAGAAAAAAAGCAGTTTTCCACCAGGTGCAGTGGCTCACGCCTGTAATCCCGGCACTTTGGGAGGCTGAGGCGGGTGGATCACTTGAAGTCGGGAGTTCGAGACCAGCCTGGCCAACATGATAAAATCCTGTCTCTACTAAAACACACACACACACACACACAAAATTAGCCAGGCGTGGTGGCAGGTGCCTGTAATCCCAGCTACTTGGGAGGCTGAGGCAGGGGAATTGCTTGAACCTGGGAGGCAGAGGTTGCAGTGAGCCAAGATCACGCCACTGCACTCCAGCCTGGGTGACAGAGCAAGACTCCCTCTCAGAAAAAAAAAAAAAAAAAGCAGTTTTCAAAGTAGGCATTTCTAATATGGCAGATGGCCTCTTAAATGTGTCTATTATTTAAAGGAACCATGACATAGAATTAGAAGTCTGCTATATTATCTGACTCTTAACTATCTGTACAGCAGATTTTATTGTAACAGACCCAATGGTTAAAGATGCTACCATCACCACTATCATAAGGGAACAATTATGCAGACAAAGCTAATTAAAGGGCTAACTAGCAAATTAATATGTGCAATTGTGAGTCCATGACAGCCAGGCAACTGAACAGTAAAATGGATTTTATCAATTGGTTGGTGCCATGGAGTCAGCAACTGCCTTTTTAAAACCAGTTTTTTCATTTCCTTCTTTTTATGGGGGAGGTAAGAGGATCTTAAAGACATCAGACCCATATAGGCTGATTGGCAGGTCCAGATGAATGATCAATAAGGCAGAAACACTCTGATATGTAAAACGCAAGCCCAAGGGAAATACCACAGAGCTCTTTGATCTTAACGAGATGCTCAGACAACTTTTTGGAAACTTTTATTAATTTTTTGGGGGTGCCCCATTGTTCAGAGTCCTCTGGTTGCATTTACAAGTGTAATAGAAAATGACAGCCCTGTTATCCTTTCTTAAAATGTCAAAGACCACATAAAACAAACCTCATTCACAGACATCCCCCACTTTTAAACATCATGCCAGGTAACCAGCATGACAGAGCAGACCTCATATTTTGAGAGTATTCATTTTTGGAAATTCTGACTTTGTAAAAAAAAAAACAATCATTCTGATTAAAAAAAAGACAGAGATAGTATTCTAATTGATGGCTCATATACAAATTAATAGACAATTATTGCATCAACTGACAGTCCAATAGAGCAGACATCCAGTTTTCTTTTTTTTTTATTATTATACTTTAAGTTTTAGGGTACATGTGCACAATGTGCAGGTTGGTTACATATATATACATGTGCCATGTTGGTGTGCTGCACCCATTAACTCGTCATTTAACATTAGGTATATCTCCTAATGCTATCCCTCCCTCCTCCCTCCACCCCACAACAGGCTCCAGTGTGTGATGTTCCCCTTCCTGTGTCCATGTGTTCTCATTGTTCAATTCCCACCTATGAGTGAGAATATGCGGTGCTTGGTTTTTTGTCCTTGCGATAGTTTGCTGAGAATGATGGTTTCCAGCTTCATCCATTTCCCCACAAAGGACATGAACTCATCGTTTTTTATGGCTGCATAGTATTCCACGGTGTATATGTGCCACATTTTCTTAATCCAGTCTATCATTGTTGGACATTTGGGTTGGTTCCAAGTCTTTGCTATTGTGAATAGTGCCACAATAAACATATGTGTGCATGTGTCCTTATAGCAGCATGATTTATAATCCTTTGGGTATATACCCACTAATGGGATGGCTGGGTCAAATGGTATTTCCAGTTCTAGATCCCTGAGGAATTGCCACACTGACTTCCACAATGGTTGAACTAGTTTACAGTCCCACCAACAATGTAAAAGTGTTCCTATTTCACCACATCCTCTCCAGCACCTGTTGTTTCCTGACTTTTTAATGATTGCCATTCTAACTGGTGTGAGATGGTATCTCATTGTGGTTTTGATTTGCATTTCTCTGATGGCCAGTGATGATGAGCATTTTTTCATGTGTTTTTTGGCTGCATAAATGTCTTCTTTTGAGAAGTATCTGTTCATATCATTTGCCCACTTTTTGATGGGGTTGTTTGTTTTTTCTTGTAAATTTGTTTGAGTTCATTGTAGATTCTGGATATTAGCCCTTTGTCAGATGAGTAGATTGCAAAAATTTTCTCCCATTCTGTAGGTTGCCTGTTCACTCTGATGGTAGTTTCTTTTGCTGTGCAGAAGTTCTTTAGTTTAATTAGATCCCATTTGTCAATTTTGGCTTTTGTTGCCATTGCTTTTGGTGTTTTAGACATGAAGTCCTTGCCCATGCCTATGTCCTGAATGGTATTGCCTAGGTTTTCTTCTAGGGTTTTTATGGTTTTAGGTCTAACATTTAAATCTTTAATCCATCTTGAATTAATTTTAGTATAAGGTGTGAGGAAGGGATCCAGTTTCAGCTTTCTACATACGGCTAGCCAGTTTTCCCAGCACCATTTATTAAAAGGGAATCCTTTCCCCATTTCTTGTTTTTGTCAGGTTCGTCAAAGATCAGATAGTTGTAGATATGTGGCATTATTTCTGAGGGCTCTGTTCTGTTCCGTTGGTCTCTATCTCTGTTTTGGTAGCAGTACCATGCTGTTTTGGTTACTGTAGCCTTGTAGTATAGTTTGAAGTCAGGTAGCATGATGCCTCCAGCTTTGTTCTTTTGGCTTAGGATTGACTTGGAAATGCGGGCTCTTTTTTGGTTCCATATGAACTTTAAAGTAGTTTTTTCCAATTCTGTGAAGAAAGTCATTGGTAGCTTGATGAGGATGGCATTGAATCTATAAATTGCCTTGGGCAGTATGGCCATTTTCACGATATTGATTCTTCCTACCCATGAGCATGGAATGTTCTTCCATTTGTTTGTATCCTGTTTTATTTCATTGAGCAGTGGTTTGTAGTTCTCCTTGAAGAGGTTCTTCACATCCCTTGTAAGTTGGATTCCTAGGTATTTTATTCTCTTTGAAGCAATTGTGAATGGGAGTTCACTCATGATTTGGTTCTCTGTTTGTCTGTTATTGGTGTATAAGAATGCTTGTGATTTTTGTACATTGATTTTGTATCCTGAGACTTTGCTGAAGTTGCTTATCAGCTTAAGATTTTGGGCTGAGACAATGGGGTTTTCCAGATATACAATCATGTCGTCTGCAAACAGGGACAATTTGACTTCCTCTTTTCCTAATTCAATACCCTTTATTTCCTTCTCCTGCCTAATTGCCCTGGCCAGAACTTCCAACACTATGTTGAATAGGAGTGGTGAGAGAGGGCATCCCTGTCTTGTGCCACTTTTCAAAGGGAATGCTTCCAGTTTTTGCCCATTCAGTATGATATTGGCTGTGGGTTTGTCATAGATAACTCTTATTATTTTGAGGTACATCCCATCAATACCTAATTTATTGAGAGTTTTCAGCATGAAGGGCTGTTGAATTTTGTCAAAGGGCTTTTCTGCATCTATTGAGATAATCATGTGGTTTTTGTCATTGGTTCTGTTTACATGCTGGATTACATTTATTGATTTGTGTATGTTCAACCAGCCTTGCATCCCAGGGATGAAGCCCACTTGATCATGGTGGATAAGCTTTTTGATGTGCTGCTGGATTCGGTTTGCCAGTATTTTATTGAGGATTTTTGTATCGATGTTCATCAGGGATATTGGTCTAAAATTCTCTTTTTTTGTTGTGTTTCTGTCAGGCTTTGGTATCAGGATGATGCTGGCCTCATAAAATGAGTTAGGGAGGATTCCCTCTTTTTCTATTGATTGGAATAGTTTCAGAAGGAATGGTACCAGTTCCTCCTTGTACCTCTGGTAGAATTCGGCTGTGAATCCGTCTGGTCCTGGACTTTTTTTGTTTGGTAAACTATTAATTATTGCCTCAATTTCAGAGCTTGTTATTGGTCTATTCAGAGATTCAACTTCTTCCTGGTTTAGTCTTGGGAGAGTGTATGTGTCGAGGAATTTATGCATTTCTTCTAGATTTTCTAGTTTATTTGCATAGAGATGTTTATAGTATTCTCTGATGGTAGTTTGTATTTCTGTGGGATCGGTGGTGATATCCCCTTTATCATTTTTTATTGTGTCTATTTGATTCTTCTCTCTTTTCTTTATTAGTCTTGCTAGCGGTCTATCAATTTTGTTGATCTTTTCAGAAAACCAGCTCCTGGATTCATTGATTTTTTGAAGGGTTTTTTGTGTCTCTATTTCCTTCAGTTCTGCTCTGATTTTAGTTATTTCTTGCCTTCTGCTAGCTTTTGAATATGTTTGCTCTTGCTTCTCTAGTTCTTTAATTGTGATGTTAGGGTGTCAATTTTAGATGTTTCCTGCTTTCTCTTGTGGGCATTTTGTGCTATAAATTCCCCTCTACACACAGCTTTGAATGTGTCCCAGAGATTCTGGTACATTGTGTCTTTGTTCTCGTTGATTTCAAAGAACATCTTTATTTCTGCCTTTATTTTGTTATGTACCCAGTCGTCATTCAGGAGCAGGTTGTTCAGTTTCCATGTAGTTGAGCGGCTTTGAGTGAGTTTCTTAATCCTGAGTTCTAGTTTGATTGCACTGTGGTCTGAGAGATAGTTTGTTATAATTTCTGTTCTTTTACATTTGCTGAGGAGAGCTTTACTTCCCAGTATGTGGTCAATTTTGGAATAGGTGCAGTGTGGTGCTGAAAAGAATGTATATTCTGTTGATTTGGGGTGGAGAGTTCTGTAGATGTCTATTAGGTCTGCTTGGTGCAGAGCTGAGTTCAATTCCTGGGTATCCTTGTTAACTTTCTGTCTCATTTATCTGTTTAATGTTGACAGTGGGGTGTTAAAATCTGCCATTATTATTGTGTGGGAGTCTAAGTCTCTTTGTAGGTCTCTAAGGACTTGCTTTATGAATCTGGGTGCTCCTGTATTGGTTGCATATATATTTAGGATAGTTAGCTCTTCTTGTTGAATTGATCCCTTTACCATTATGTAATGGCCTTCTTTGTCTCTTTTGATCTTTGTTGGTTTAAAGTCTGTTTTATCAGAGACTAGGATTGCAACCCCTGCCTTTTTTTATTTTCCATTTGCTTGGTAGATCTTCCTCCATCCCTTTATTTTGATCCTATGTGTGTCTTTGCATGTGAGATGGGTTTCCTGAATACAGCACACTGATGGGTCTTGACCCTTTATCCAATTTGCCAGGCAGACATCCAATTTTCTATCTGTAAAGACACAAAACTCATTATCACACAATTTAGATGGAAATATAAGTAAAGAGAAAACTTTTTTTTTTATAGCCACTAGCACTTTCTTAAAAGGAAAATCACATAATTATTCAGACAGATGTTACTGTAAAGTTGTAGAGGTCAAACCATTGGAGATAAACTTGGGTTCCAATTCTGGCTATTGGGGCTATGCAGGCCACAGATGTAGAAATTAACTTATTTGAACCTCGATGTACTCTAGCAAAATGGGCATAGTACTGGTCTCCCAAGGTTGTGGTAACAATGAAATACTTGTACATACGAACTTAGATAGCACCTTGCCTGGCCACTTACATGAACTACATCTGAATAACTGATCTCAGCTCACTGCAATCTCCACCTCCGGGGTTCAAGTGATTCTCCTGCCTCGGCCTCCCGAGTAGCTGCATCTTAGAGATTTCTATTGCTAGAAACCTGTGGTGGATTTCCAAACATGCCCACTCATCAGAGGACACAAGTGAAAAAAAGTGATTAATAATAAATATCATAATACAGTTATGAAACTAGTTTTGACCTCACAGGCTCCCTGAAAGAGTCTCAGCCTCCCTGTCTCAGGGTTCCCCAGACCACCTTTTGAAAATTACTGGACTAGGGAAAGCATTTGAACCTGTTGGCCAAGGAGAAGCCCTGACAGAAGTAATATGATGAAAAAAGGAAGAGGAAGTTGAGTCCTCCTTCATTGAGTATTTTCCCCAAAATCTTCAGACAAAATGTGTCATGGTATGCAGATGCCAAATAAGACATGGTTGCTCAGGAAAGACAAAATAAAATGCATGTTGATGATTCCCAGGAAAATCAGACAAGTTGGCAGGCAAGAATAGGTATTTTTCGCCTTTAGGCTCTAGCTCCTTATTATTATTATTATCTTACTTTATATTCCAGGATACATGTGCAGAACATGCAGGTTTGTTACATAGGTATACAAGTGACATGGTGGTTTGCTGCATCTATTGACCCATCCTCTAAGTTTCCTTTCCTTGCCCCCTACTCCCCAACAGGCCCAGGTGTGTGTTTTTCCCCTCCCTGTGTCCATGTGTTATTGTTCAACTCCCAATTATGAGTGAGTATATGCAGTGTTTGGTTTTCTGTTCCTGTGTTAGTTTGCTGAGGATGATGGTGTCCAGCTTCATCCATGTCCCTGCAAAGGACATGATCTCATTCCTTTTTATGGCTGCATAGTATTCCATGGTGTATATGTGCCACATTTTCTTTATCCAGTATATCATTGATGGGCATTTGGGTTGGTTCCATGACATTGCAATTGTAAATAGTGCTGCAATAAACATACGTGTGCATGTGTCTTCATAGTAGAATAATTTATATCCCATTGGGTATATACTCAGTTATGGGATTGCTGGGTCAAATGGTATTTCTGGCTCCAGATCCTTGAGGAATTGCCATACTGTCTTCCACAATGGTTGAGCTAATTTATATCCCCACCAACAGTGTAAAAGCATTCCTATTTCTCCACAGCCTTGCCAGCATCTATTGCTTCTTGACTTTTTAATAATTGCCATTCTGACTGTCATGAGATGGTATCTCATTATGGCTTTGATTTGCATTTCTCTAATGATCAGTGATGTTGAGCTTCTCCTTCACGTTTGTTGGCCACATAAATGTCTTCTTTTGAGAAGTGTCTGTTCATATCCTTTGCCCACTTTTTGATGGAGTTGTTTTTTTTCTTGTAAATTTGTTTAAGTTCCTTGTAAATTCTGGATATTAGACCTTTGTCAAATGGGTAGATTGCAAAAATTTTCTCCCATTCTATAGGTTGCCTGTTCACTCTGATGATAGTTTCTTTTGCTGTGCAGAAGCTCTTTAGTTTAATGAGATCCCATTTGTCAATTTTGGCTTTTGTTGCAATTGCTTTTGGTGTTTTCCTCATGAAGTCTTTGTAGCTCCTTTTATTTATTTATTTATTTTCTCTTTTTTGAGATGGAGTCTCACTCACTCTATTGCCCAGGCTGGAGTGCAGTGGTGCGATCTCGGCTCACTGCAAGCTCCACTTCCCGGGTTCATGCCATTCTCCTGCCTCAGCCTCCCGAGTAGCTGGGACTACAGGTGCCCGCCACCAAGCCTGGCTAATTTTTTTGTATTTTTTGTAGAGACGGGGTTTCACCATGTTATCCAGGATGGTCTCAATCTCCTGACCTTGTGATCTGCCTGCCTTAGCCTCCCATAGTGCTGGGATTACAGGCGTGAGCCACCACCACTGGCCTGAGCCCCTTATTTTTTTATTTAAATTTTTATTTTTAGCTTTTTATAACACCTTTCAAAAATCAATGCTCTTTGAAAATTCACTCCTGTTAAAATTACTAATTGAGTGATATACTTGTGATCCTAGCTAACCTGATTTAGGGAAAGCTATTTACTCCCCACACTGTAGGTGAAAGAAGTTGAATGAGAGGTGAGCTCTGACATGGAGATGATGAGCTGACCAGGGTGATCTGTAAAGGGCTTGTGTGAGCTGTGCTGAGAGTGGAGGCTGGAGCCAGTGGTGGGGGGCTCTGAGGGACAAAGGGGATGCAAGAAGAGTGCACGCCAGGGAAAGAAGCCCGGATTAGCACAGCAGCATGTAAAAGAAGCAGGAGTATCTTCTATATGTGTAATAGACCAGAAATGATTAGAGGGGCTTATCCTGGGAAAGCAGAAGTGTCCATCACAAGGATAAAGTTAAACATGGATCCAACATTGTGTTGTAGGTGCACAGATCCTCAGTTCTCCGTTAAGGGCTACAAATTATTTATTCAAATGTGTTTATTCCAAATTAAGCGAGCACGTTGCTATGGTGGAGATACTATGACAATTTGAAACTCCAAAAATGTAAGGGAAAGTCTTAATTCTTTATTTGAATCCTTATTTCAATCATCCTTATTTCACTCCTGAGAACGTCTTTATTTCAATTATGAGAATTTAGGAAAAAATGACTTTTAGAAATCTCAACTATTTTAACAGGTCACAGAATGAAAATCAATGGAAAAATTCTGGCTTGGCATATGCAGAAGACTGAAACTGGACCCCTTTCTTACATCATATACAAAAATTAACTGAAGATAGCCAGGTGTGGTGGCTCACACCTGTTAATCCCAGCACTCTGGGAGGCCAAGGCTGGTGGATTGCTTGAGTCCAGGAGTTTGAGACTAGTCTGGGCAACATAGTGAAACCTTGTCTCTACTAAAAATACAAAAATTAGCCGGGCATGGTGGTGTGCACCTATAGTCCCATCTCTTTGGGAGACTGAGGTGGGAGAATCACCTGATCCTGGGAGGTTGAGCCTGCAATGAGCTGAGATTGTGCCACTGCACTCCAGCCTGTGAAACCAGAGTAAGAGTGTCTCAAAATAAAAAAAATTAACTGAAGATGGATTGAAGACTCAAATGTAAAATTCAAAACTATAAAAGTTCTGGAAGACAACCTAGGCAACACCATTCTGGACATATGTATTAGTCCGTTTTTGTGCTGCTGATAAAGACATACACAAGACTGGGAAGAAGAAGAGGTTTAATTGGACTTACAGTTCCACATGGCTGGGGAGGCGAATCATGGTGGGAGATGAAAGGCACTTCTTACATCGCGGCAGCAAGAGAAAATGATGAAGAAGCAAAAGCGAAAACCCCTGATAAACTCATCAGATTTTGTGAGACTTATTCGCTGTCACGAGAATAGCATAGGAAAGACCGACCCGTATGTTTCCATTATCTCCCCCTGGGTCCCTCCTACAACACGTGGGAATTCTGGGAGATATAATTCAAGTTGAGATTTGAGTGGGGACACAGCCAAACCACATCAACATAGGCACAGGCAAAGATTTCATGAGGAAAATGTCAAAAGCAATTGCAGCAAAAGCAAAAATTGACACATGAGATCTAATTAAACTAAAGAGCTTCTGCCTAGCAAAGGAAACTATCAAGAGGGTGAATAGACAGCCTACAGCATGAAAGAAATTTTTTGCAAACTATACATCTGACAAAGGTCTAATATCCAAAACCTATAAGGAATTCAAACAAATGCATAAGCAAAAAACAAACAACCCCGTTAAAAAGTGGGCAAAGGACATGAAAACTTTTCAAAAGAAGACATACACTTGGTCAATAAGCATATGAAAAAATATTCAACATCACTCATCATTAGAGGAATGCAAATCAAAACTACAATGAGATACCATCTCACACCAGTCAGAATCGCTATGATTAAAATGTCAAAAAATAATAGATGCTGAAGAGATTGTGAAGAAAAGGAACACATACTCTGCTGGTGGGAATGTAACTTAGTTCAGCCATAGTGGAAAGAAGTTTGGCAATTTCTCAAAGAACTTAAAACAGAATTACCATTTAACCCAGCAACACCATTATTGGCTATATACCCAAAGGATATAAATCAATCTACCATAAAGACACATGCATGTGGATGTTCATCACAACACTATTCACAATAGCAAAGACATGGAATCAACCTAAATGCCCATCAATGTAGACTGATAAAGAAAATGTGGTACATATATACCATGGAATACTATGCAGCTATAAAAGGAATGAGATCATGTCTTTTGATGACCATGAATGGAGCTGAAGGCCATTCTCCTTAGCAAACTAACACAGGAACAGAAAGCCAAATACAGCATATTCTTACTCATATGTAGTAACTAAATGATGAGAACACATGGACACATAGAGGGGAACAACACATACTGGGGCCTATTGGAGGGTGGAGGATGGGAGCAGGGAGAGGATCAGGAAAAATAACTAATGGGTACTAAGCTAAATACCTGGGTGATGAAATAATCTGTACAACAAACCCCCATGACACAAGTTGACCTATGTAACAAACCTGCACATATACCTTTGAACTTAAAATGAAAGTTAGAACAAATCTGGCTTGGTATATAATTCACAGCCTCATAAATTACATTCAACATTATAGTTTCTTAATTTTTAAGTACAATTCATACGCAATATGTTAAATCCAAATAGTGTTTCTTAAAAAAGGAAAACTATTACTATCATATTATCATTCTAAGAAGAATGTAAATGAGTAACCAATAAAAATAAAGTATATGAAGATATATAATCAATTTTCATGTAAGACTATAGCCATAATATTGCTTGATCTTCTACTCTTCTACTAACTTGCAAAGTTAGTTTTCAATACAAAGTATTGAAGTATTATTAAAATCTCGTACTTTTTGTTTGGGTTTTTTTCCTCTTACATACAGATAATAGTTTTCCCACTCTTATTTTTATTTAAACAACAGAAGATTCCAAAAATATGTTTTGTCAATATAAGTTCTACAAGATGCTTGTAGATATTCCTCAAAAAGATTTCATTGTTAAAGAATTTTGGAAAACCATGAGTACAACAAAGAAGTTTCTTTATGATAATACTTTCACAAGCCTTTCATATGACACTGTTCATCAAGAAATTCCGAGAAGGTCATACAGAAGGAATTCCTTCCGAGATGACTTAGCTTGAAAAACTTAATGTCATAGGGGCTCGACCAACAGCTCTTAGAACTAATATTCTGAACGAAAGCACTGGAAAGAAATGCTTCTTTGAACTAATGAGCAAAATGTCTGGATTTGTACATAATATTTTTGCAAAGCTATTAGGTTCAAATTTCTGGAGGAGGCTCCTTTAGGATTAAGGAAAATCAAGATGAACATAAATAAGGCAGATTTGTCACCTTCATATTTTATTGCTTATCAAAATGAAGCTCAACAAGGCTTAAGTTAGAATAACTGAAGTAGGAGTATGTCATAGGAGAAATTACATTCCTTCTGCTCCTCCATGCCCAGGGTGAAAAAGAATTGCTAAGAGGGAGCTTCTGCTTCTGTAAAAGAGAACGCTCTTGTTATGGTGTGTATGTGTAACTCTTATCCTATATATATGGATAAGTAATGTTTTGTTCGTGATTGCCTACACCATTTTCTCATTTGGTTTTGCTCAGGCTAATGCATGTGCAGTAGGGTTTTTTTAATTTTTAAAATTATAAAAATATTTATTTAAGATTGACCTATAATAATTGTACATATTTATGGGGAATAGCATGATGTTCTGATATATGTATATGCTGTGTAATAAGCAAATCAGGATAATTGCCATATCCATCACCTTAAATATTTATCATTCCTTCGTGATAAGAACATTTTAAAACCTCTCTTCTAGCTATTTTAAAATCCATAACAACATTACTGTTAATTCCAGTCATCATCCTACTATGCAATAGAACAGCAAAACTTATATCTGACCTGAGTTTTGCACCCAATCTTTCTCTATCCGGCTTTTCCACTTCCCTCCCCATCCTTTGGTAACCATTATTTTACTCTTACTTCTATAAGAACACCTTTTTAGATTCCACATATGAGTGAGATCATGTGGTATTTGTCTTTCTCTGCCTGGCTTATTTCACTTGGCATAATATGGCTCCAGGTTCATCTATGTTGCCGTAAAAGACAGGATTCCATTCTTTTTATGGCTAAATAGTATTCCATTGTGTATATGTGCCATGTTTTCATTATCCATGCTGTGCAGTGTTGACTGTCAACACTGTCAGTTTTTTGCACAAAGTGAGGGGTGGGGAGGAGTTGTGCAGCTAATGGAATGGGGGAGATGGCTTGTCCTCCACCTTCTCCAGAATTAGGGCTTCATTAATTTGTTTAAATATTTCAAATCTCCAGGATTGAGGCATACCTACAGTAAAATGTAAATACAGAAACACTTTTCAAGGAGAAATATTCAGGATTCATTGATTGTTTTTCTTTTCCATCAGTATGCTACCATTTTCCTTTATTGACACAGATACTCAAGAATTGGCTATACTGTCATCCCTTAGTGCCTGTAGGGAATTTGTTCCCGGGCACTCCCCACCCCACCATAGATACCAAAATCTGTGGATGCTCAAGTCACATATATAAAATGGAGTGCAGTATTTGCATATAAGCTATGCACATCCTCCCATATACTTTAAATCATCTCTAGATTACGTATGATACTTGATTACTTATGATTATTTATAATACAATGTAGATGCTAAGTAAATAGTTGTTATACTGTATGTTTTCATTTGCATTGTTTTTATTATTGTTATTTTCTTTTTTTTTTTTCTGAATATTCTTAATCCACAGCAAACTGAATCCATAGATGTGGAACCCATGGATACAGAGGGCCAACTGCACTTTGTTTATTCAAATATTAAATGGGAAATCTATTAAAAATCAATCTTTCCTAAATTAAACTGTTTTTAATTTTTTTTTTTTTTTTTTTTTTGAGACGGAGTTTCGCTCTTGTTGCCCAGGCTGAAGTGCAGTGGCGCGCAACTTTGTCTCACTGCAACCTCCGCCTCCCCGGTTCAAGCGATTCTCCTGCCTCAGCCTTCCTGAGTAGCTGGGATTACAGGCACGTGCCACCACTCCTGGCTATTTTCATATTTTTAGTAGAGACGGGGTTTCTCCATGTTGGTCAGGCTGGTCTTGAACCCCCAACCTCAGAAGATCCACCTGCCTTGGACTCCCAAAGTGCTGGGATTACAGGTGTGAGCCACCACGCCTGGCCCCTAATTTTTTTTAAGTGCCTCCCAATGCAAAAACACATTGCCACCCATAAACTTATTTCGGAAAAAAAAAGAATAAACCTAAATAGAATCAAGCCTCAGAAAATTAGAGACCAGGAAAAAAAAAGCTGGAATTACCTTAGAGGGATTACATCACCAAAATCCAGTCTACAGGAAACTTCACAGGCCAAATCACTCAATTTCTTCAAATTGCAAAAAGCAAAAAAGGGGGAGGGGGGAAGCTGTAATTTGAGAGCCCTCAAAGACATTTATTTTTAAGTATTTTAAATAAATACTGTACTATTGTATATAAGGATGTACATTTAGGGCATAAACCATGAAGAAAAGGGAGGAAGTGATGACTGTCAACGTCTGGACTGTTTTTGCTTTTAGGGAGGAGGTAAGGGCTGTCATTGGCACAGCACACAGAGGCAGTACTACCAAAGCGTTTGGCAAAGGTCTATTGTTCCTAATTTTAAATGGGCTTAGCTAGAAAGGAACATATATTAAACATAAAAAGCACTACAGGGAGTTTATAATTTCATTGTCATTGTATCTACTGGTAGTTTCTGAACTGTCACACAACCCCAGGTTCTCTGGAGTCCTTTATGCCTACTCTAGAAGGGCATAAATCCCTTATCACACTTCAACAGCTGTCTGTACACATTTGGCCAAAAGTATCAGAGAACACCAACTCCTCAAAAAGTAGGAGTGTGGGAGAGAGAGGAAGGTTTAAGTCTAAACCTAATTTCCCGGTTCAGACAGTTGCCCGCACTAAAGGCCTCCTATTTTCTTTCAACAGAGATAGCATTTGGTTTTCCATATTTATATCCTATATACTTGTGTGTACAATGCAAGCTTTGTTATGCTGTATCTGGCCAGTGTTTTCTTCCCTTTACAACAGGCAGTAACTGTAGCTGTGCATAATGTACCTGACAGTGAAGGTGGCTGGCTATTGAAGTCTCTTGTTGGGCAACGTTTGTGCTGGCACAGCCATGGTATTTTTCTTTCTTCCTGTCCCTCCAAACTTTCTTGGTTTAATGACAGTCTTATGTTTCATTTGTTTTCTCTGATCCAACGTGTTTATGTGAGGGCAGTTCTAGGGTACATAAAAGTCAGTTTCAGGGTGGTAATTATTGACCATGGTTTTACACAGCACCTCATGTGGTAAGAAGATAAATGCATAATCACCCAGTAATAAGAAAAACTCTGACTGAAGGACCAAAGGACGTTGTCATTTTACTCCACCCTCTGTGAGTCAGCGAAATGGATTGAATTATAAACCAGAAACCAGCACTTCAATCTGATGAAACTCATCCTATAGAGGAAAGTGTCACTACATGTTGGCAGTTTGTAAAATGTGATGATCTGCCCTAATCCATTGGAACTGACATGTCCTTAATAATAGCAACATTCTTTGTAAATTAAATAGCTATTATTTTTTCAAACCTGTCAGGATATGCTTATGCAGTTGACGCACACGTGATCATAGTCATGTTCACTGTGTCTAAAAGTGAGAAAAATAGAATCCATTTTGGAATGTGTAAAATTAAGCCAGTAATCTTGGTCTCTCAAGGCATGAACCAAAACTGAGCTAAAAACCCTGGATTGATTTTCCACATATAAATAAACTGAGTCTGGATGGTGGCATATGTCCCAAGGTCATTGTGCAATGGTAATCGATGATTAATTAATCATGTAGTAAACATTCATTGAGCACCTATTCTGTCCTAGGCACAGTGCTAGGCAAGGATGCAGCAAAGAAATGACAAGAATCGTTCTTATCTGTTTCCATTTCTCCACTGCTTGTTTAACCCTTTCTAGTCAGCAACCTGGTACTCTTTTCTCTCCTGTGAGGAGAGAGACCGTCTGTGCTCCCTGTGCCTTCAAGGCTGCCCTTGCAAAGGACACTTCTTCCACAGAGAAACGAGTGACATATGGTTTATGTTGGTGGCTTAGCTAAAAGGGAACATATTTTCAGCATAGTGCTGCCACCCTTTTTAAAAAATTTCTTGTAACCTCGACGAACCTCAGGAGAAATTCTCTAGAATTGTGTTACAGTACATGAACAATTCTTTTGCAAAGTTATTTCATGACTTGAAGATTATAACAGGTAAGGATTGCAACATGAAGTCATGCAAGACAGGCTTAAAATAATTTGAAATTTTCTGACGTGTCTTACAAATAAACCACTGTGAGAGTCATCTTAAAGTCAGGCTTTATCTTGGACACATCAGCTTATAACCTGGGTAATGATGTGTCTGAAGCAGACAGGATATGGCAAACTGGGAAGCCAAAGGTTTAATCAGGGGGCTTACTATCAGCAGATCTCACTTAATGGACTGTTATCAAGGTGTTGCTGAAGATTGCAAATATTAAGCCTGAAACACCCGATGGTTGCTGTTTTGTTTATAATATTTGAATGAGAACAGCAAGTGAAGAGTATAAGTCAGAGCTACTGTACCTGTAGGCTGTGCCTCACACAAGGGCACCCAGTGGAGAAGGTAGCAGGCTGGGGCTAAAATCCCGTGTGCACCATGCTCACTGGGCCATACACCCTGAGGTGAGGCTACACTGGCCCAGAGGGGTGCCTTTTGTGTGTTTGTATAAAGGTGCTATATGGGTAGCTGTGGCACTAGCACTATTGTCTTCCCAAGACAGATTTTTGGAAACTGCTGACGTGGCTAAGATAGGGGAAGGGCTGTCTTACTGCTAGTGGAAGAACTAACTCTAGCTAGGATATATGTTCTTTCCCAGAACAAGCTGGGCACTCTCCAATGATTCCAAGTTACCAGGCATTTCTGGGGGCGGAAGAGCATTGTTGCTCCACCCACCTCCTTTTCCTGGAGAATTGTCAAGATCTAGGATTTCCCCAGAGCTGGAATAATTACTGAGTAGAGTCCAGCCCTGCTGAGAAATTGCAGAGTAAATTTCCCCTGAAGGCCATGTCTCCTGCATCCTGCCACCTGCATCTTGGTTGTAGTTTAAAAGTCTTGTCCAAGAGGATTGCTAAAATATAAATGCCCAGACTGACAGCTGCTCTCTGCACAGTGTGAAACATTAGCTTATAAGAAATCCTAGGTTTCCTGTGTTTACCATCACACACCACTTCCATGGAATTAAGTTGGGTCTCATTAATGTGTGGAATGCTCCATATCTTAATGAAATCCTCTTTTGCATGTGTGCGTGATATGACAGTGTAACAGCTCAGAAATTACCACAATGCTCCACTCTACATTTCCTAGCCCAAACACACACACACACACACACACACACACACACACACACACACCCCAACCACTATTAGGAACAGTAACATTAAGTGGAGGAAGCTATCAAGATATAAATAAGGAGGGCCAGGCATGGTGGCTCACACCTGTAATCCCAGCACTTTGGGAGGCCAAGGTGGGTGGATCATGAGGTCAAGAGATCGAGACCATCCCGGCCAACATGGTGGAACCCTGTCTCTACTAAAAATACACAAATTTGTGTGTGGTGGTGCACACCTGTAGTCCCAGCTACTCAGGAGGCTTAGGCAGGACAATCCCTTGAACCTGGGAGGTGGAGTTCCCAGTGGTTGCAGTGAGCTGAACTCACGTCACTGCACTCCAGCCTGGCAGCAGAGCAAGACTCCATCTCCGAAAAAAAAAAAAAAAAAAAAAAAAAGATATAGATAAAGAAACATACAGTGAAGACTTTTTTTTTTTTTGGAGAGAAAAAGCCCAAGCAAATGGGTTTTAAAATTCTACTTCTATCACAGCACTCCATTTAAAAGCTGAAGGCATCAAGAGTTGACATTGCTCATGGCACATCAAGGGAAAATTCAGAAAAGGAAGTATCTGTTCGCTCATTACCCAAATGTAAATTATATGTGCTCTTGAAGTATGCCCTTTATTTAATTTTAATGCATTTTAAATTTTAATATGAATTACTCTACATGAATCACCCTTTTTGTTTTCAATGCCATTAGCACACAAAAATTGAGGAAGGGATTCTATTTTCTGGTAATTCAAACTATTTTATGAGGTGTAGCACATGATATTGTGTCTTCCATAGAGAAGGAACTCAGTGTTTGTTGAAAGCAATTTCAATGTGATATGTTAGCTATGATCTAATGTGAGTGGGTAATGACTTCCCATATTCTTTTTTTTTTTTTTTTTGCAGCTAAGAAGGATTCTTCTATTCCCATTCATATTTTAAAAAGTGTTTGGTTCTTAATAAAACCAAGGCATAGTTTTTTAAAGAGTATCTTGGCATCACTCTCAGACG
Source organism: Homo sapiens (assembly GCF_000001405.40). Lineage (NCBI taxonomy): Eukaryota > Metazoa > Chordata > Mammalia > Primates > Hominidae > Homo > Homo sapiens. Next base: position 73,468,820 of record NC_000013.11, read on the forward strand.
TATGCAATCAAAGAGATTCAAAGGCAATACTGTGAAAATGACCATATTGCCAAAAGCAATCTACAGATTCAATGCAATTCCCATCAAAATATCATCACAATTCTTCACAGAACTAGAAAAAACAATCCTAAAATTCATATGGAATCAAAAAAGAGCCCTCATAGCCAAAGCAAAACTAAGCAAAAAGAACAAATCTGGAGACATCACATTAGCCGACCTCAAACTATATGACAAGGCTGTAGTTACCAAACAGTATGGTACTGGTATAAAAAATAGGCACATAGACCAATGGAATAGAACAGAGAACCCCTAAATAAAGCCAAATACTTACAGTCAACTGACCTTCGGCAAAGCAAACAAAAACATAAAGCGGAGAAAAGACATTTATTCAACAAATGCTGCTGAGATAATTGGCAAGCCACATGTCAAAGAATGAAACTGGTTCCTCAACTCTCACCTTATACAAAAATCAACTCAAGATGGATCAAAGACTTAAATTTAAGGCCTGAAACCATAACAATTCTAGAAGATAACATCAGAAAAATTCTTCTAGATATTGGCTTAGGCAAAAAGTCTATGACCAAGAACCCAAAAGCAAATACAACAAAACAGATACATAGATGGTACCTAGTTAAACTTAAAAGCTTTTGCACAGCAAAAGGAATAATCAGCAGAGTTCACAGATAACCCACAGAGTGGGAGAAAAATATTTGCAAACTCTGCACCTGACAAGAGATTAATATCCAGAATCTACAAGGAGCTCAAACAAATTAGCAAGAAAAAACCAAATACTCCCATCAAAAGTGGGCTAAGGACATGAATAGACAATTCTCAAAAGAAGATATACAAATGGCCAGCAAACATGTGAAAAAAATGCTAAAAATCACTAGGTATCAGGGAAATACAAATTAAAACCACAATGAGCTACCACCTCCAAGAATGACCATAATTTAAAAATTAAAAAATAATAGATGTTGGCATGGTTGTGGTGAAAAGGGGACACTTTTACACTGCTGGTGGGAATGTAAACTAGTACAACCGCTATGGAAAACAGTATAAAGATTCCTTAAAGAACTGAAAGTAGAACCACCATTTGATCCAGCAATCCCACTACTGGGTATCTACCCAGAGGAAAATAAGTCATTGTATGAAAAAGACACCTGCACACACATGTTTATAGCAGCACAATTAGCAATTGCAAAAATATGGAACCAGCCTAAATGCCTATCAACCAACAAGTGGATAAAGAGAACGTGGTATATATAGACCATGGAATGCACTCAGACATAAAAAAAGAATGAAATAATGGCATTCACAGCAACGTGGATGGAGTTGGAGACCATTATTCTAAGTGAAGTAACTCAGGAATGGAAAACCAGACATTTATAAGTGAGAGCTAAGCTATGAGGATGCAAAGGTATAAGAATGATATAATGAACTGTGGAGACTCAGTGGGAAGAGTGGGAGGGGGCAAGGGATAAAACACTACATATTGAGTACAGTGTACACTGCTTGGGTAATAAGTGCACCAAAATCTCAGAAATCACCACTAAAACACTTATCCATGTAACCAAAAACCACCTGTTCCCCAAAACTATTGAATTAAAAATAAAAAATTTAAAAAAACTAAATTATTTTCCTTTTTTTTTTTTTTTTTTTTTTAAAGACAGAGTCTTGCTCTGTCCCCCAGGCTAGAGTGCAATGGTGCCATCTCAGCTCACTGTAACCTCTGCCTCCCAGGTTCAAGTGATTCTCCTGCCTCAGCCTCCTGAGTAGCTGGGATTACAGCCACACGCCACCACACCTGGCTAATTTTTTGTATTTTTAGTAGAGACAGGGTTTCACCATGTTGATCAGGCTGGTCTCGAACTCCTGACCTCATGATTTGCCCACTTCGGCCTCCCAAAGTGCTGAGATTACAGGCATGAGCCAATGTACTGGATCTAAATCATTTTTGTATCCTGTAAAGGCACTCTATCAGGTCGGACTTTTTTTCATTTGAATAAATTCAGTGATTCGAAAAACCTGTCTTTTGAAAAACCTGATGTGTGAACGCGTTAAGTTAGTGGCCTAGAGATAGTAGGAGACAAACATTATATTTTTAAAAAACTAGCCAGGCACTGGCGGCTCATGCTTATAATCCCAGGACATCGGGAGGCTGAGGTGGTAGGATGCCTTGAGGCCAGAAGTTTGAGACCGCCCTGAAAACATAGCAAGATTCCATCTCTACAAAAAAATTAAAAAATTAGCTAGGCATTGGTGGCATGTGCCTGTAGTCCCAGCTATTTGGGAGACTGAGATGGGAAGATTGCTTGAGCTCAGGAATTTGAGGTTGCAGTGAGCTATGAATGTGCTGCTGCACTTAAGCCTAGGTGATGGAGTGAGACTCTATCTCAATAAATAAATAAATAAATACATATTTTAAAAAACCAGACAGACACAAATATTTGGGTCATGATTTGATGTACTTTTGACTTTGAGAAGGAGAAACAACAAACATACACCTAACTCTGATGCAAGTTGGAATGTAATAAACATCAGACAAGAAGTTCCAAAATTGAAACAGAAAGTCAGAAAGCAAGGCTGGGGCTAGAAGGAAGATATTACGGAGAAGACTGAAGAAGATGGCATGAACAAAGGCAGAGTGGTGGGATGGCTTATAGTCATTGAAATAGGTCCAGCATGCTTGATGGCTTATAGATATTGGGATAGGTACAGTGTGGCCGATGGCTTATAGTCATTGGGATAGGTACAGTGTGGCCGATGGCTTATAGTCATTGGGATAGGTACAGTGTGGTCTCCTTTGATTAGAGGAGAAGACACATGAAGGGAGAAGTTTGATGATCAAGCTTCAGGATCGGCTGGAACTAGGGTGTAAAAGGCCTTGAATACCAGTATGGGCAGTGGCATCATATAAAATGTTAAATTACCAGTTATTGGGGTGAGGGAGAAGGGGAGTTGGATTTGCAGAGTTCACTGATTTTCTTTCCTTTCTTTTTTTTTATTTTTTTATTTTTTTGAGACGGAGTTTCACTCTTGTTGCCCAGGCTAGAGTGCAGTGGCGCGATCTCAGCTCACTGCAACCTCTGCCTCCTGGGTTCAAGCGATTCTCCTGCCTCAGCCTCCCAAGTAGCTGGGATTACAGGCACCCACCACCACGCCAGACTAATTTTTTGTATTTTTAGTAGAGACGGGGTTTCACCATGTCGGGCAGGCTGGTCTTGAACTCCTGACCTCTGGTGATCCACCCACCTCGGCCTCCCAATGTGTTGGGATTACAGGTGTGAACCACCGCACCCAGCTGAGTTCACTGATTTTCTACTCCCACATGAGCCCACTGAACGTGAAATTGGGAAGAGATGCTAACAAGCAGCACTTGGGAGCTGATACGAGTCAGCTCCAGCACACCAGCGCATAGGTGTGGAAGCTATGAGAAGGATGAGATTACAGAGGGAGAGGACAGTACAAATAAAACAAACAAACAACAGACAATAAGACCAAGCCAGAGCCTGTGGATTGCCAGTATTTAAGGATAGTGAAGGCAACGTGGAGTCAGACAAGGGTAGAGGAGCTAGAAATTAGGAAAGCAATCAGTATAAGCAAGTGTCATGGAAGCTAAAGGAGAGATAACACCAAGATTGAAAACATATTGCTCGATTTGGAAGATAAAAGAAAGTTGGGGATTTTAGGAGAACAGCTTTAGGAAAATGGTAGGGATAGATGTTAGGACATAAAGGATTAAGAATTGGGTCAGTGGTCTATGAGTTGACATTTATTAACAACCACCATTGGGCCATATTCAAACAATTTCACTATCTAAAGGAAAAACTGTACAGGGAATTTAAATAAATATACAAATTAGTCCAAAAGAAAGTGAAATTAAAAATTCCACAGCAAAGATTTTTGGCACACACTCTCTACGACTTAGCTGGTTTGGGATGCTGCAGTGTCTTTCACATTCTCTTCCATTTCTTGACTTTGTCCATTCAACGAAAGCTTCCTCAAAACTTATCTGTGAGCCATTAGGTGGGACATGTGATGCCAATTTTTGGTGTAATCTCACATTGAAAATAATTTTAAAATTATAAAATCCAGGAAGTTCATCTAACTCTCATAAGACCCTCATATTTAACCGCCCACCCCTCTCTTGCTACCATTCTGAGACTTTCGCAGCTGCTCTTCTCTCTAAAAGGAAGAGTGCAAGAAGTTCACTTTCAAGAGTTCTCCAAGTACTCTGGGCCACAGATAATCCATATACATCCAGCTTCTTTTTAAGCCCTTTGTCTAGAAACCATGAAGTTGATTGACAAACTAAGATACTTTGGAAAGCAGAATAGTGTGTATTAGTCATTACCCTGGGACCAGATGCTCTCTCTTTGAGAAGGCTGACCAGATCACATACAGAACAGCCAGTTACACTTGAATTTCAGATAAAGAATGGATGACATTTTGGCACAGATATGGCCCATGCAGTAGTGGGATATGATTATAAATATTCCCGTGGAGTATTTGATACCTATCCTGAAACTGGGTGTCCTGTATGTTTGTTTGCTAAATCTGTCAACCCTGCCCATTTACATGAGCAACACGCTGTCTATACACAGGGCAAAAAACTGTTCTGACTCAAAACTTGCTACATAATTTGCAGGGTCCAGTGCAAAATTAAAATTTGGGATTTTCTTGTTCAAAAATTATTACAGATTTGAAGATGATGACAGCAGAGCGCTAAATCAAGAATGGGGCCTTTCTAGGTTGGGGGCACAGGTCACAAGTCCATAAGGCTGGCCCTTTTCTTACCATTGATATGCTATATTTTACTGAAGTAAAAATTTAAAATATCTCATTTTCCATGTATTAAATAAATAGGTAGAAACCAGCATGCTTTAGACTTAAGATTTCACTGAAACATTTTGAGTGCTAACCTCATTTGGAGTGGAGTTTTTTTTTTTTTTTTGAGACAGAGTCTCACTCTGTTGCCAAGCTGGAGTGCAGTGGCGTGATCTCCGCTCACTGCAACCTCTGCCTCCTGGGTTCAAGCGATTCTCCTGCCTCAGCCTCCCAAGTAGCTGGGATTACAGGTGCCCGCCACCAGGCCCAGCTAATTTTTGTATTTTCAGTAGAGATGGGGTTTCACCATGTTGGCCAGGAAGGCCTCGATCTCTTGACCTTGTGTTCCACCTGCCTTGGCCTCCGAAAGTGCTGGGATTACAGGTGTGAGCCACCGTGTCCGGCCTTAGAGTGGATCTTGGTTATAGGATACACAAGGTTAGGGATCACATCTGACTTACCCACTGCCTTGTATAGTGCCCGACACATTAAAGCATTTAATAAATATGTTAAATGACTGTATTTCCGATATGCATATAGTATAACACATATAGTATCTATTTACCCTAAAGTGGCATTTAAAATTAAATGAAGGACATGCTTTAAGGGCAATTATAACTTTCATTTGAGTACTAAGAGATCGGATGGCAAAATTGCACCTTAATATTCTGTATACTACATGATATGCATGTCTATATGCTATGTAACGTGTGTAAATATATTGTGTAATGTTATGTGTGCTCCTGGCTTCTCCAGTTGATGAATATATTCTTTTTTTTTTTAAATGAAATCTCACTCTGTCACTCAGGCTGGAGTGTAATGGCGTGATCTCAGCTCACTGCAACCTCTGCCTCCCGGGTTCCAGCAATACTCCTGCCTCGGCCTCCTGAGTAGCTGGGATTATAGGCGCGCACCACCATGCCCGGCTAATTTTTGTATTTTTAGTAGAGACGGCGTTTCACCATGTTGGCCAGGCTGGTCTTGAACTGCTGACTTCATGATCTGCCCACCTCAGCCTCCCAAAGTGCTGGGATTACAGGCGTGAGCCACTGTTCCAGGCCAATATATTCTCTTTCTACTACATCTTGATGCTCTGAGCCTGCCTACTAGTCATAGATAGGTCCTGACTTCCTGCAGCTTCTCCTCACTCAATATCTCTGAGAAGCCTTAGAAGTGCTTATTCAGGAATCGAGTGTCCCCTAGGCCACCCTGTTGGTGTAAGTCAAGTCTACTTGCCCTAGGAGTCCCAGAAGGGAAGCTTATGATGGAAGCTCCAGTGCCAGAGGCCATGTGTGGCCATCACTCCACCACCATCCTGTGGTCACACTGCTGTTTCTGACTATGGTGTCACTGCTGCCATTCTCCTCTGGCCCAAAGGTTCTCACATTGTCTGTAACCAGGTCTTTCACAGCAGGCTCCCACACCACAGTTGTTTGGGTCCGAGTGACACAAACTCATTGACATCTAGCAGAGCACTCAGGGGCTCCAGGGATGAGGGGTATTGGGTCAAAGATGACCACACAGAGGGCTGGGACCCTCTGACATTAAGTATGAGAGTCAGGCAATGCTCTCTGTTTACTTCCAGTGTTCCATGTTTCCCTCCCTGGAAGGCAAGGGGCATTGTTTCACACACATCAGTCTAAACCTGAACCCTATGGCAGTTCAAGACCTCTCCCAGGGGATCTTGGGCCCCAGGCAAATCAAAGATACATTGGGCTTCTGCTCCTGTGGCCCTGAGTAACTTGTGGTGGTTAGTTACTGAGGCTTAGTTGCCCAGTTCACATGCGGGACATCTAGATGTGGTGGTGTCCTTTTTTCTAATGCTGCAGGGACAGTGAAAGGAGTTCTCAGCTGGTGTTGTAGCTAAGATGAGCTAATGTCTGCATTAAATATGTAACTTCTAGAAGCTTCTTTTTTTGGTACCATGCTAACTTGCCCTTGTTTATATTACATAAATTTCCTTAATTTTTTTTTTACTAAATAACTTTTTCATTTTCAAATATTTCCACATGAAAATAATGATCTCAGGTGAAACTAGGTGGGCATGATCTCTTGTTCTCCAATCCAGCCAAATCAGGGAGTTACTCAGGCATGAACTCAAGTACTGGCATTTTGTCTTCTGAAATATGATTTATAAACCCTTCAAACCTATAAACCCATTGTAATGAATTGTTTCTTATATATACAATGCATTTAAAAATTTATCATTAACATTCCATGGAGTCAACACCATCTCATGATGGCACCCAAATCACCCTTTTCTGGTATAAATACACCGTATGTTAAGTTTTATATTGCACAGTTTTAGGTTTCCTTGAGTCTATATATTAATACTATATACAGTTTTCTTTTTTCTAAATATGGACTAAGTGGAATGACAGCAATAATAAGTAACTGACTGCTCACCCATAATGTCAATGGTAAAGAGTGATTTTCATGGTGTACTAGGGTGTATATTTTCTGGTGAGAAAGTTGTATCTAAGAAATGACCTAGAGCTTAGTTGCTTATTTCCAAACTGGATATACCTCAGCAGATGATACACAAGATGACATAGTGGGTCACTTTTCAAGACGGCATCATGAATTTCAAATCTACCACATGAGTTTAAGACCATACATTTATCTTAGTGAGATGCTTCATGTCATTTTGTAAAAGAAAAAAAAGGGCTTTGGCATTCTTAAGCTTAAGGCAGCAGAACATGGTAGAAATAATACTGGTTTGGAAGTTGAGTATTCCTGAGAACTAATCCCCAGCAACTACTAACTGTGTGAACTCACTGATCTCCCTGAATCTCTGTTTACTCTTGTGTAAAGTCAAATGTTATTAGGATCAAAGGAGCTAATGCAGAACCCATGGCTCTGGGAACAAGAACATGTGCTAATGGCTGAATAATCAACTTTTCTTCAAATGTACTTAAAAGTGTTTTCTTCCTATAAGTGTTACTCCACCCTTCCTTATTGGCTGCTAATTATTTCTTCCTAGCCAAGCCATAAACTTTTGGGGCCAGCTCAAGAATACACATGGAGGCCCATATACCATATGTCTAGATGTTTACAAGCTACAAATCAGACTAATACACTGCTAAATTAAATATATACTGTCTTCTAATTTGACAAATCTACATTTGCAATGGCTGTATGAATTTGGCATTCTCAGACACTTTGCATGATGTGGTGGGTGGGGAGAGCTGGCTGCAGCCTCTGGCCCTTGGTCTGTCAGTTTTCTTCTCCAATTCCCAGCTCCCACCCACGCCATGAAGATCCGCAGGCATTTCTGTGAGGATACCCCGGTTCACTCTTCCTTGCTTCTTCCACGTGTCCCATAAACAGCTACCTCTTGACCATGGATTGAGCCTACCAAGATGAAAACCAGAGAATGGGCACAGCCTCCCCTCAGGAGAACAGAGTAGGGAAAAGGCCACACAGGCGCTGGGTGCAGAGAGGGCCACGAAGACAGAAAATTACAGGATCCCAGATACCCAGAGTATGGTCTGGATGTGAGGCTGGGGTGGGCCAGGCTCCTAGTGGATGTGTTCTTCTGGTTCTATGGACTTTTCATTCTATGGGGAAAGGAAAAGTTAGAGAAAGGCCAAGGTCAGTTCCTTCAAAGCACAGAGCTCAGGGCTGGGATTGTCTTTTCCAGATTGAAAGGCAGTGCTTTCCAGATCTTATCTAAACACATACACGTCATATTTGTCAAAAATGAACTCCAAAGATGTTACTAGCCTTTAATATGGTAATACATGTTGGGAATGTCCAAGACTTTTGACTGTGGGCCTGAACGTGTGTGTGTGTGTGTGCATGTATGCTTGTGTGTTGAACACCTCCAAAGGACAAAGTATAACAAAAGCTATTCTAATCTCTAACATCAAGTAATATTTATTCTTCTTCCTCCAGCTGCCTCTTAAATGCAGGGGAATTCTATCATCACCTGCTTTTATTATCTTGTTCTATATTCTCGCTGGATGATTTCATCTATATCCAAGGCTTTAATCATTATCCATACTCCAGTGATTCCAAACTCTCCACCTCTCACCTCTTTCCTGAGCTTTATACTTACTACTGGACACCTTCACCTGGATACACAAACGGCCCAGGAAACTACATGTTGAAAACTCAACTCGTCCTCTCCCTCCAGTCTTTCCTATCCCAATCTGCTCCTCCAATGCTTCCTTTCTCTCAGCCAGTGCTCCATCACCTAACCCTCCTTCACAAATTGCCCTGGCCATAACCCTAGAGTCATTTTTGATTATTTTCTTGACCGCATCTCCTCTCCGATTTATCCCCCAATTTTGTGGATTCTAGCTTCTTAGTATTCCTCCAGGCTCTCAGCTCTATTGTTTTTTTCAGGGGTCTTATCATTTTTTGCCTAGATTCCCACAGCTTTCCCTTTCCCCAATCTTTCTTTTACATTCCAATGAGAGTATTCATTTATAAATGCTAGGTAGTTATAAAAGATTGAGGAAGCTTTCTATGTACTGACAGGGAAAAATCTCCAAGATCTATTATTAAGTAGAGAAAAAAGCAAGGTGTAGAACTTGTAATAGAGTATGTTATGTTTTATGTAAGAAAAAAGGGAAATGAGAAATATATTTATATTTTTGCATTTTTAAGCAACTAATGAAAGTGACTATCTGTTCATTAGGGGCATTTGAGATGGATGTTTTGGGGCAGGAATGAATATGAGATAATTTATCATATGCCTTTTTGATTTTTTTGATTTTTGAAAATGTGAGTACTAAATTCAAAAACTGAAATTTCAAAAATTATTCAAAAATTTAAAACATATATAAAAACTACTATATATTAATCATTATTACAAAATTATTACACATTATAGTATATAATATATAACCATAAAACACTTAAGAGTGAAGATACATATCTAGTCATGCCATCGCTTTGCTTAAAATGTTTCTGGAGTCCACTATTACCTTCAGTACCAAGTGAACACTATTTAGAATGACAGAAATCTTTCCAGGATATGGCCTTTCTCCACTTCTGAAGCCACATCTCCCCACATGCTAATATATTTCATGTTATTAGAATCAAAGGAGCCTATAGCCATATTGAATGATATGATTATTCACATCAGATATTATGGTCTGAAATGCCCAAGTGTTTCCACTATTTGGAATTCTCATTTTGCCCAACTCGGTCTGCCTGTTCACACCAACTCAGTCTTTAAGATTTGTTTCGAATCTTCTTTCCTCTAAGTTGAATTAAGCAATTCTCTTCTCTACTACTTTATCACTCTGTAGCTTTCTTTCTAATTGCACTCACCTCTCTGTACCATAATTATTGACTTACATAACTTGATCTAGACTGTGCATTCATTAAAGATGAAAACTGTCATATATTTCTCTCTGTGTCTGCGGTATACCATGTATAGTCCGCATATGACTGGATAAATGAATCTATAGATGGAAAAATATATGAAAGAATAAATGAGTGAGTGAGTGAGTGAATGAATGGGGAAGAATATTTACAATGCATTCATCTCCCTTACAGGTGCCTGCCATGGCCCAGATCAAGCACATGAGAGGGTGTTATTGTTTTGCACCTGGTTGTTCAGTGCACCTGACTCACAGAGTCTTGATTTTGCTGTAGCTTCTCCACCTAATCTATGTTGTTGCCAATTCCTCATATCTAAATCAGAATTATCCTTTGAAAGTGAGTTCCAAATGTTTTCTTCCCTGACCTGAATAGTTTAGCTTTATATTTTCATTCCACTTCAGCTTTCTGAGAAAGGGTCAATTTCTCAAATGATCTTTCCAAATATTATCTGGAGCAATTTCTGTTGAGAGAGATTACAAAACTCCAACCTTTGTGTTAAGGTTCAGCCTTGGAATGAGAAGACAGAAGAAAGAAAAAAAATACAGTGCGGGTTTTCTTCATAAATAAACCTCATGTGTAATGATCAAACACAGTATCTCATTCTCTACCTAAAGCTGCCAAAAAGAAGAGGAGAGCAAATCATCATTTTGGGAATTGAGAGTTAAATTACTCCATAGTTCACAGAACAAGTATCCATCTAAAATTGAGAATTATTTTTTAAGTTTTAAGAATGTATGTTTAAAACTTACTTTTGGAACAAACTTTTTTGGAAAGACATGATCTCTCCAAATAATACCAAAAGACTAATTTTGATTCACAAAATCTAAAGTAAAAGAGATCAATAATTAATCGTTTAGGCCAGGTTATAAGTATCCTAGATTCACAAGGAATAGGCAGGTTAATTTGGAACTTCAAGCAGAATCCAGCCCTCTCATTTGCTTCACAGACAGCAGATCCCTGATGTGGGGCTGCCCAGAGGACCTTGTGAAGATGGTTGCTGCTCTGGTCTTGGGGTGGAAAGAGCCCAAAACCCTGGGCCACTGGCTTCTTTCTCCAAGGATCTGGTTTTTTTGGATGAAATTTTCTATGTTGATGCTTTTTCCCTTAAGTGGCCTCTGGGCCCTTCGATATCACAAGTTCATAAAGATTTTAATATTAAAAGGAATTCTGCTCATGGACTGCACTGAGAAAAATTATCCTCTTGGACCCAACTATTTGAACTCAACTGCTTATTTTTAGCATTTTAGGTGAAGTTTCATGCTTTGTCTATTATTGTTCTGTTGAGAAGTAAAGACATTTGATTAGGCCATATTTCCAGTACTGTTTAAAACTGAATTAGAGAAGGTGCACTCTGAAAGATGTGTTAGTTTTAGGATTTCCAACTAGTGGCTAAAGCGCCCTAAAATTAAACAACTTGCCCAAGGCCAGTAAGTGTTATAACCTTAGAGTTTTGGACTGAGATTTCTGCACTTATTAATGTTGCATCACACACACACACACAAACACACACACACACTCTATTGTACACAGTAGGGATGTAGTTTGTTACCTATTATAAGTTGAGCAAAAAATGCTAACTATGTTTTTAAATGTCATAGTCCTCAGGAATGTGAAACCCATAGAGCATTTAAGCTTCTATTTTTCTAAAGACTAAAGGATGATTTTAATAAAGATGTCGGTACCCATGAAAGGTATCAGATAAACAGATAAATAGATGCTCCATTTATTCCATTTATGCACAGAATAGCTACTCAGTTCCTGTTAGCACATGTCTTTCTGGTAAAGTCAGGGCACTTGAAGCATTTCAATACTCTGTTGGGAGGATAATTTGTGTTTCAATAAAGGAGCTTCCTTTGGGGGGATTTGAACTAAGAAATTAATTCATTTTCAGTAGGATTACTAAGTAGATCTTCCTGGAGCACAGAAGTTGTAATGACAGTTATGACAATACCTTACATATGATAAGCCTGCTTGTTGCATAACCTTCATGCTTTGCCAACATGGCCTCACCCCTCTCATCTTACATCCTTGGACAGGCACTGGGGTATATCTGTCTGTGTGATTTTTTCTGTGTATACCTTCTTCTGTACTTCAATAAAGTTGGTCTAAGTACTAAACATGGATTTCAATCAGTGATTTATTGATAATTCATCCAGTAGTCCATTGTAAACCTCATCTGTAATACTATTTTGGGCCTTCTCTTGAGTGGATCCCATAAGAAAACATTTGTTAGCTTTTAACTCTCCAGCAACTTCTGTCAGGTTTGGGCTCCCTGTCCTTGGCTGTGAGGCTGCTGCTGCAGGCCAGGATAGCATGGATCAGAAGAGGTGTAAATCTGACAGTCAGAAGTCAAGAGAAAAGGGAAATATACAACCATAATAGTTTTGTTTTGAGGAAAAACAGGAATAGTCATAATGAGTCCCCAAAAGGACATTTACTTAGAAGCAGATTTGAAACCTGGCATGTAGGGCTAGTTCTAGAGTTAAATATAACTCCATCGCATGATCCAAATATGGATTTATGAGTCAGTTTTGAGAATTACATGAAAAGCTTTTCATAAAACACGTATTAAAATATAGAATTATTAGTGTTCTCTATGCATTCCATTGAATTATTTAGTTCACATACTGTGGTTCTGCAGCATTCTCGTACATAAATACAAAACAAACATCCATCTACGCACATTAAAAAGGCATTATTGGTGCTTTATCATAGAAATTTTCTAGTCCTGTTAATATCCAAAAGCTTTCTTTTCAACCTTGTGATTATGGGATGATCTTCCATTTAAACTAAAATTGCATCTATGAGGTTCAAGCTATTCTTAAAAATATAATACTGTTTGCATAATGTGAGAAGTCTTGATTTAGGGCTGAGGACAAAAAACAAGCGGATAATTTCTTGTAGCAAAAAAATCAAGCAATGTAGCAATCGAAGGTAACCTTTTCTCAGTGGTTCTCACCACGAGCATTGGTCAGCCCAAGTCCCGAACATTCTAAAATGAGGAGAAAGGTTGCCAGTTCTCCTAAATGGGAAACTTGCAGAGAAGAGAGTTGGACTAGGAATTGTGAAAACCAACCAGCTTTTTGGTGAGCAGCCAATAGCCTTCTTGTTGGAAATGCCCAAGTCTTTCCCAAACCATTTGGCTCACCTCCTGACGTAATTGCTTCTGTAAAAGAAATATTTAAATGGGCTGGAGTGATGGTAATGGATGGATTTCAATTACCAGGGCACATACTGGATTACTTTAAGTGGCACAAATTGGCCGTGAGGCAAACTCACAAATCAGGCTCAGCATAGCTTTCCAGTGCAGTATGTCTCTCTGAAGGTAACACTATGTGCTCTTAGGTAATGTAAAACAAAGGTTAGGAGTCAGGATGTAATTGGAGCAGTTATTCTATTGGGAAACATACATTATAATTTCAAATGTGGAGTAACGCCAAAATGGTTGAGCATGCTGAAATAATGATCAAGGGGCTCTAGGTAAGTTTGAAATGATGTAAATAATTTAAAAAATTCATGGAAATATATATTGAAAAATATTTGGAGAAACCAATTAAAAGCGGTTGGAAAGTTTTAGAGCAAAATATAATATCTTGCATATCCAGCCAATAAAAAGAATTAGAAAGTTTGCATTTAAATACTTAAGCAAAATAGAATAGAGCTTAGCACTAAATGTAGTGATACATGTTTTACTGAATAGCTCTCACATCATTGGCTGTGTGTAAGCAAAGCCTCCTTATTTGAGTGCTAAGGGATTTAGCTGGATCTGTTTCCAGTCACAAGGCTAGCTGGCACTGTGTAGGTTATACGACACACTTCTCTTTCCTGGGACTTTGCACACTGTCCTCTCCTTTGCATCTTGCCTCTTTGCTTTCTTCTTGCACAGATACTCTCCTATTGCATCTCCTAAACTCACCAGTCCTCCTCCTTCTCCTCCTCCTCCTTTCTAAAACCCTACCTCTGTCCCAAGACTGGCTTCCTCTATGAAAACCCTGCTTTCATTTGGCTTACCAGCCAAGGCCTCCCCGACTGGACTGGCATCTTCCAGACTTCCTTATTTCGTTTTTCAAGTTACCTTATATTCTACCTACTAAGCTCTTTTGCTACTTGGTCAAGTCAGCCAGGTAACACATACATATTTTATATATGATTTTTTTTTAAAGTGTGATTCAAGATGACTGTAACCACCTATACCAGGAAAATAACAATAATTAAAATAAAATATGATAATGGTACAAAAGTAGGCATATGTGTTGATAGTAAAAGAGGCCAGAAAGGGAACCTAATGAATTTTGAACTATAGTATAGCTAAAATTTACAGATCACTTACTGTGTGCCTAACACTAAACTTATTCCTTCCATCCTCTCTGTGACCTGAAGGGAGCATCATTAGAGATGAAGGTGCTGAAAGTTGAAGTAATTTTCCCAAGCTAGCTTCATCACCTAGAGCTGGAACTAATATTAGATCCAAGCCACTGGGCTCTAGAGCTACATCTTAACCTTTGCACTCTACTGCATCTGAAAAATGAAGTTTAATAAAACAGTTGGGAAAGTCATTATTGACTAATAAGCATTTTAGGTATAATTAGCTTTTTGGTATTTTATACCCTAAACCTAAATGAACTAGGAAAACTGTTACATGCTTTTTAAGCCATGGAAAAACACTGGAAACCACAATATAGAATTCATTTCAACTCTGTTAGGAATGATAATTTTCTAACTATTGAACAATAGAAAATGCCATTATCCTCAGCAAACTAACCCGGGAACAGAAAACCAAATACAGCCTGTTCTCACTTATATGTAGTAGCTAAATGATAAGAATACATGGACACATAGAGGGGAACAACACATACTGGGGTCTATGGGAGGGTGGAGGGTGGGAAGAGGGAGAGGATCAGGAAAAATAACTAATGGGTACTAGGCTTAATACCTGGGTGATGAAATAATCTGTACAACAAACCCCCATGACACAAGCTTACCTATGTAACAAACCTGCACATGTACCCCTAAACTCTAAATAAAAGTTAAAACAAAGAAAAAAATGTTACAAAGTCACACATTTGTCTATAATTTATCCTTTATACTATTGACTTTTAAACTTTATTACTATTAAATACAATAAAACACAACTTTAAAAAGCCAACAGAACAGGAAAGTATTTGTGATAAATGTGATTAATGAATTTATACTTCTACTATATAAAATGCTGGAATATTTATAAAAATACAAAGGTCTCGATCAGCCAAACTGGCAAAGAAGATACACACAAGGGAAAAAACAAATAACAATAAATAAATTTGTATTGGTCAAGCCACATTCAGAGTGTTAAAATTATTTGAACTAATTTTATTATAAAAGAAATATAGAACAGTTAAATATGCTACAAAAACCAATTACAATGAAGAGACTTGAAAATTTTTCAGAGGAGGAATGAGTGGTGAGGTTACTGAGCAAAGAGGAGCTGGAGGTCTTGGAGAGGAGCAAGCAATGATACTGAATGATGTGTCCAGGTGACCATGCCTGGCTCATGGGGCTGCCTGACCTGGAGCTTGGAAGAAGGCTCGGAAACTAGAATGAGGCTTATGGCAATGGACCTCAAACTTTGAGGTGTATCAAAATCATCTGGGAGGTGCATCAAAATGACCTGAGAGCTTGTTAACACCTGGATTGCTAGGCCCCACTCCCATAGTTTCTTATTCAGTCAGTTCGCAGCAGGGGCGATTGCCCATATTTCTAAGAGGTTCTCCAACAATGCCAATGTTGCCAGTCTGGGGCTCGCACTTTGAAAACTGCTGGCTTATAGAATCACCTGCAGACATAACAACCAAAGTGTAATGAAATCAACAGTGCAGCAAAGGAAGGGTGGCGAGAGAGATGAGGCAGGCATAAGGAAAGAGGAAAGGATTGAGAGACAGACAGGCAGAGAGAAATAGTAGGTACATAAGGAGCCTGCAAAAAAAAAAAAGTGGGGGGGAATTTCTTCACAGCAGAGAATATCTAGCTAGGGAAGCTGAGAGGTGCTAGAGACAATTCCAAGATAGGGCAAGTGCTATTCCTCAAAATTTATCATCGCCATTACCACACCCCTGGCCCTGTCTTGTTCTCTTCCCTTCACTGGCAATCATTTTGAATGACTAGAAATCTGCTACAGCTTCTCCCTCCTCCACCTTCTCCTCTAACTAGTCCACATTCCTTATTTCCTGCCTTCACCTCTTCATTGCAATTACTCTTTGAAGTCACCAAATCTGCAGATCTGCTGTCAGCTCTGTATCCTTGACACAACAGCAGTGTTTGATAGCTCTGTCCACTTTCTTCTTCCTTAATTTTCATGACACACACTAACCTGGTTATGTTTCTGAATAGTGAGCACTGAACTGCATCTTTAGTTTTCTCTTTGTTTGCAAAAGGCAAAGTAGACTTTACTGTATCAAGTAGAGTGAATGATCCTCATTACCAACGGGAGAAAAGGTGCATTTCTATATCATAGGTGCAAAAAGGAATATGTTTGGAACTCAGGGTATTCTCAGAGGCAATAATTAGCACTTTTTATCACTCAGGGGTAAAAGTTAATAGAAGAGAACAGCCACCCAGCAGAGGCAGGAGCACCAATAGCTCAGACTCTTCAGGAAAGAAGGAAAGATCATCCTACCAAGTAAAGAACCAAAGAACCAAGAGGCACTGAAGTGCTGGCCGATGACAATGGGAGCCTGAACTGGGTCACAAAAGATGCAACTGAATGGCTTCATGACCGGTTGCACAAACAAGGACTAGAGTTGCTATGCACAGGTTCTTCTGTGCTTTATGTACATATTTGCATATATTAGTTTATTTCCACCACTATGCCACACCCACTGTATTATATAAGATGTGTTTTGTGGAACTATTAAGTTTTGTCTTTGAGTTACAAGAAGTCAAAGGCAAGTGTGACTAGACCCAAGACAAGTGAATATCTCCCAGAAATGGAGAATGTGACTGGTGAGATTCTTTTTTTTTAGACAGAGTTGCCCAGGCTGGAGTGCAATGGCATGATCTCGGCTCACTGCAACCTCCATCTCCTAGGTTCAAGCAATTCTCCTGCCTCAGCCTCCCAAGTACTTGGGATTACAGGTGCCCACCACCATGCCTGGCTAATTTTTTGTATTTTTAGTAGAGATGGGGTTTCACCATGTTGGCCAGGCTGGGCTCAAACTCCTGACCTCATATGATCCACCCACCTCGGCCTCCCAAAGTACTGGGATTACAGGCATGAGCCACCAGGCCCAGCCCTCTTTTTCTTCCTTTATTGGAACAAATTTTAGTTTCTTCTCAAAGAGCCCTTCCTTGACTACTCTATCTAAAGTAGATCCCTATGTATAATACCTATCTGAATTGCCCATTTGTTTTTGTCCATTCTAAGCCTCATCAAAACTTGTAATGATTTTCCTTCTTTAGCTGTTTATTATTCTTTATTTGCCTATCCCACCAATAGGGAAGCTTCAGAAATAGTGCCTGTGTCCAATGTACATATTTACATTTAGCACAGTGCCTGACACACAGTAGGTAATTAATACGGTGGATCGAATGAATAAATTGGCACTAGTAGGAATGGTGGGCAAGAAGCTAGTTCAGAAGGGTTTCGGATCCCTCAGTTCTCTACACAGCAGCCTCTTAAATATGATTGGAAAATCAAATGCTTCAAAGTCACAATATGTTGCAGTTTGGAGTAAAGCTTTTAGAATAAATTCTTCTAAGATTCTCCAGAATCTATTTGTGTTGTACCAGAGGACATAGTATATTCTGCCCCATTTGATCAATGAAGATAGTAACATTCTGTATTTGTCATTTAATACATATTTATTGGGTATCTGTGGTTTGCTATGCACTGGGCACACTGCAGTGAGCAGGCTTGACAAAGCCTTTGTGCTTATGAAGCCAACATTCTAGTGGGGAGGACGCAGGCAAAATATTGATCAACAAAGAAATAAATGGGATAATTACAGCTAGTGAAATGTGCTCTTAAAAAATTAAAACAAATTGCTATAGTGGACAGTGCCCAAAGGGGACACTTCTTTGTGTTAGGGAAATCAGGAAGGTTTCTCTGAGGAGGTGATTTTTGAGCTGAGATCTGAATAATACAAAGAAACAAATCAGGTGAAAACAAGACTTCCAGCAACAAGGAAGCCACTGTGGCCAGTGAAGGGGACATGGAAAGTGATGGGGACAGAAAGATATACAGAACCATGTCACATGGGGCCTTGGAGGCTGATACAGTCTGGATGTTTTGTCTTCTCCAAATCTCATGTTGAAATTTGATCTCCAGTATTGGAGTTGGGGCCTAATGGGAGGTGTTTGGGTCATGGCGGCAGATCCCTCATGAATGGCTTGATGCTGTTCTTTCAGTAATGAGTTCTAACTCTATGTGTTCATGTAAGAGCTGGTTGTTTAAAAGAGCCTCATACCCCCTCCCTTTCTCTCTTGCTCCCTCTCTTGCCATGTGCCATACTGGCTCCCCTTCACCATCCGCCATGCCTGGAAGCTCCCTGAGGCCTCAGCAGATGCAGATTCCAGCACCACACTTCCTGTACAACCTGCAGAACTGTGAGCCAAAATAAAACTCTTTTTTTTAATAAATTACCCAATCTCAGGTATTCCTTTTTAGCAATGCAAATGAACTAACACAGAGGCCATGGTAACATGTTTGGAATTTAGTCTTAATATGATTTTTAAAAATCTACTGGAGAATTTTAAACAGTAAGTGATATGGTCTATTTTACATTTTAGAATAATTGTTCCATAAAGATGTTAAAGATGGTTGATTGCTCACATGTGTTTTTTTTCCTCTTGTTCCAAAGACTTTGCTGAAATAACAGCAAAGGAATAAAAAAAGGCATAAACCTTTAAGAGCAATGAGGAGAGGTGAGGAGACAGTAGGAACTATAACAGTAACATATATTTTTTGGAAAATGGAAATAGATGGACAGAGGAATGAAGAGTGAGCCAATTCTTACTGTCCAAGACTTGAAGGCACAAGGTATCATGCAGAGCAGGGTGGGTAAGCTTCTGAAAACAGGGATTGGATGAAAATTTGTACATGAAACTGTTAGTCTCCAGATGCCTGTGCCCATCAGGCATTGAGAAGATGCCCTCTATGGCAAGAAAATGAGCATGTATTCTATGGAGCATTTGGCTTTAAGTGGCTAAGGAACCAGGGCACATGGCTGAATGAAGGGTGGGTGTGTGCAGCTTGGGGATGAAAACAGAAGATTAATCAAGAGCCTTCACACGGATTAGGGGAATTCTGAGACCCCCTTTACCTGCCTGTTGTGTGAATGTTGGCCCATACTCCACAGGAAAGAGACTTGGGGAAATTCTGCTTAGATGAAACTGAAAAGTCCCAGAGAGCACATTTTAACATAATTCCCAGACTGCATGGCCTATAGTGAAGCCACCACTTGGCCAGTCTTGATTGTGGACTAGATCTGGTTTCCAAGCACCATTCAATGTAAACAAGGAGATAAGAATCATCACACATTTGAGAGAAACCTCCAATATAAAAAAGAGAGCTCAAAGCAAATAGAAAAAATAATTCTAAGGGAAACAGAAATAAATCAAAGAACAGCATAACAATTTTTAAAAATTGTTAATATCATTAGAAAGATAGGATATTGCATACCTAATACAAGATCAGGGAACTGTAAGAAAGGAACCAACATAGAAAGAAAGTATTGATGAAATAAGAAATACAAGAAAGGCGATAGAAAATAATGTTGAAGAAATCTTTCAAAAAGTTGAACAAAAACAAAATGATCAAAAAAAAGAAGAAAAGACAAGACTTGGCGGACCAGAGTGTTTAACATTTAACTCAGAGTATTACAGAGAACTAAGAAAAGAGAGAAAAAGATAGTATGAAAAAAATTATACAAGACCATTTCCCCCTGTTAGAGGATGTGAATCTTTAGATAGAATAGTTTTACAGAATTTCCAAGAGAATGAATACAAAAGACCCACTGCAAGACACACCATAATGAAATATAAGAGCATCACGAGAGGCTTTTAGAAACTTTCAGATAGGAAAAGACAGATTACAAAGGAATAAGATTTAACATACCTTTCAACTTGCCAATGCTAATGTCACCGAGAGAAGGAAATGAGGAATGCTTACAAAGTATCAAGGAAAATATTTCCGCCTAGGATTTTATGCCCAGCCAAATTATCATCAAGTTTGAGGGTAAATTAAAATTATTTTCAGACATTTGAGTCATCGTATGAGGTCCCAAAAACTTACGTCCACAAACGAAACACAATAATATGTACAAAAAGGAAACTACTTAGCTCTAGAGTGAAAAACTAACAATTTAAATGAACAAAATAAGTCACTGATAAATTATTTAGTAATAAAATAGTAACATTATTCTGAAATAAATAGAGAAGGGGGGAAGGGTGGTATAAGAGAGCTAAGTCTTCACCAACCATAAAAGGCGGCCAGTGAATAATACTGAAAATTCGTAAATTAAGAAATAGTAGATTATTCATGTTATTTAGCAAGGTGTAAATAAACACCAGAAGAAACATGAAAATAAAGGGTAGGGAGTTGTTTTTCAATACTTCACATAATGTACATTCATGTATCATAGTTTTTCAATACATTATATATTTTCAAATTTTGCATACATATTACTTTCACCAAAAAGAAACAAAATTTAAGACAAAAGTTTCTTGTGGCAGGGTCGACACTAGATTGCAGGGATACAAGAATAGAACTAGGTGGTGATTTTTGCGGTTCAGCTGAGAGATGACAGTAGCTTGGATCAAGTGGTAGTGGTAGAGAGAGAAAGAAGTGGACAGATTCACAGCATGGTATGGAGTTGACATAATTTACTGAAGTATTGGCTGTGAGTATGAGGGAAAGAGAATCTTCAAGAGTGACATATAGGAAATTAGATATGAACATAAATATGCCTAAATAAAATCTTAGTTGGGAAATTATCAATCAAGATTTCTATTTTGTACATGTTAAGTTTGACATTCCTGTCGAAGAGGGGTGTCAGGGAAGCAGTTTGATGGTGTTGTGGGTTGAACTGTACCCCTCTTGCCCGTCCCAAAAGATGTTGCAGACCTAATCTCCTGAAATAGGGTCTTTGCAGTTGATGAAGTTAAGACACGGTTTTTAGGGTGGTCCCTAATATATGAATATGTCCTTGTACAAATGTAACATTTGGGCAGAGATAGACACACAAAGAAGGAATTGGAAGTGAAGACATAGGGAAAACACCATCTACAAGCCACGGAACGCCCGAAGCTATGAGAAGACAGCAGAGAGGAATGGGCTAGATTCTGCCTCACAGCCCTCGGAAGGAACCAACCTTGCCAACACCTTAATTTCAGACTCCTGGCCTCCAGAATTGTGAAACAATAAATTTTACGTCGTTTAAGCTACTTGGTTTGTGGTACTTTGCCATGGCAGCCCCATGAAACCAGTACAGGATAGAGATACATGAGGAGATGTCGGAAGTGGAAACAGTGGAGATACACATTTTGGAATCCCGTGCATGTAAGTTGCATTTAGAGCCATGTGACTGGAGGAAATCACCTCGGTAGTGAGAAAAGAGGAAGAAGGGGATAAGATTCAGGAATCAGAACGGAGACTAGAAAACGCCTATATTTAGAGACTAAGTAGAGGGTGCAAAATCACCAAAGGAGAATGGGAGAATGATGGCCAGAGCGGGTGGAAAGAAACCAGGAGAGTATGGCATCATGGTGATCAACAAAGTAAAGCTTTTTTTTCTTTTTAAAGTGGATAGCTGCCAAGATGATAAGCAGGATGAAGTCAAGAGGGATGGCTGCTTTTGGAAACTTGAGACTCCTTATTAACTTGAGAACCCCACATTCTTTTGTTCTAAGGGGGCTCAAGATAGACTTGCAGGGGAAGGAAGTGAGGACCATAATATATAGAAAGCTCATAAGATTATTTGTTCTGAAGGAGATAAGAAAACCAAGTGAGAGCTAGAAGAAGATACGAGTCCAAGAGGCAGTTTTAAAAGATGGAGGACACTGATGTTGGATGTGTTACCAAAACACCAGGAGTTTGGTCTAGGACTTGCTGCTCGCTGCACGGAAAACCAGTCACTGAGACAACCAAGGAAGAAGGCTTTAATCAGGTGCTGCCGCCAAAGAAATGGGAACTCAGTCTCAAGTCCATCTCCCTGACTGACTAAAACTATAGCAGGCAAGAAATATAGCAATGTGTAAGAAAACAGGAGCTAGGAAGGGGCAAGGAGGCACCTGGTGCCCTGACCTGGTGAGTTTCAGTTCTTTAATACTTTTTTTGAGAGGCCTGAAGGTCCTTTCCTGAGAAAGAACTCAGATAAAACAAATGCAGTCCTAAGTGAGCTAAAATCCTCAGTAGAAGAAGGTAAGTGATCAGGGGAGGTTAGTAATAACATCAAAAACAAAAGGTGGATGTGTGGTCTGGTGTCATGAAAGTCAGAAGGGTGAGGGCTTTTGAAGGAAGAAGGAAAATAAATGACTTAAAACCAGCACTCTGGTCCAATTTCAGGCTGTTGGGTACCGAGATGAATGAGGACAAACAGCCTCCTACTTAGAAGGCTGCAGAGATCACTGTGACCTGTGCACAGAACCCCTCAGTTGTACTGGCCCCTCCCAGGGTGGCTGTGGACCTTCTACATTTCTCATTTTTACTGCCATTGCCCCAGGTATTTTGTAGTTTATTTATTTTCTTTTCATTAAGGGTGCTCTCCAAATTGTATGTTTCAGGACTCCAAAAACCCTGGATTCACCCTTGCTTGAAGGGATGGGTGGGGTGGGAGTGCTGATAGTTTCAGTAACTTACACTTACAGTCAAGAGAGCTTTCAGAGAAAAGGTTGACAAGTAGGGAATTTGCCAATTGTGCATAGTGAGATTTAGAGTCTACTAAAAAGACAGAATCAACTTCCCAGGGGACATATATTCTGCAGAAAAAAATTGGAACCCAGATCTTTGAGACTCCCCTTTGGAAGTTCTATTTTGAAGCAAGGCATTCCACCTCTGTCACTTGCCCTTGAGAATGGCACTTCCGTGGCCCACTGGTTGAATGGCTTGATTCAAAAACATACAAATAAAAATAAACCATTGATAGTTTCCTGTCTCGGTGTATGCAAAGATTTTTTTTTTACGTAGGGCAAAGTGCTAATTTAAAGGGGAACAATAATAAATTGATCTACATTAAAATTAACAACTGCTCATCAAAAGGCACCATTTAGGAGAGTAAAAAAGTGCGCTACAGACTGGGAGAAGATACTCCTTGCAATATTATGCTGACAAAGGACTTGTATGAAGAACAGAAAAAACTGCAATCAAAATATGATTTTTGTTGAGTTTCATTCCAGTCCTTGCCTGATACATATGTTTTCATTTTATTACTGTGTTTCTGCTTTGTTTCACAGAAATAGGATCACTCTGTACATGTTGGTTTGTACCCTTTCTCTCCCCCACCTCTGTTTAGTTGTGTATTACAAATAATTGAATCTTAGCACTGTAAGACACAGATGATATCCTTTAGTCTAAACATTTCTTGCAGGGTCCTGGAGCAGCAAAGTGACTTGTCCAGGCTTGTGTAATTGAATGATAACGGGGGAGCACTGTGTCCTGGCCCTCGTCCACTCTCTTCATCCAGGGAGAGAAAGTCTTATAGAGGGCCCCGAGTTCATCCTTTGCTCTCCCTCTGGGCTGTACCCAGTTGGGTGCCTACCTTTAGAAAAAAATATTTGTGAAGGTAGGTTTCATGATTTCCTTTACTAGCTCATTTTTTGGGGGTGTCCAGATTCCTGCAGGGATGAAATTTTGATGAATTATTGTATTCCTGTGTCCCCAGGATAAAAAGGAAAAACTCTTCAGGAGCAAGAAGGAAAAGAAACATTCACTGGGAAGAAAGGCTCAGGTTGCAAACTTCTCTTGCTTATTTATTGAGGTTAAAAGTTAAACTGGATTAGGACAATCATATTTTTCTGACACATTGAATTTCTTCTTAAGAAAACATATTTAGCTTTTTTTTTTTCATGAATCATTTCAGTCGAAGAGCCAGGAGTTATGTTCTTATGCTGGGTAGAAACACTGAAGGCCCCTTTGTGAAGGACTTAGCTAGCTACATGTATTTATTTGGCTCATTTTGTTTTTCTCCCTGGGTTAAATTTTGACTTAAATATTTGTATGTGGAGCAGGAGGTAAGGCAGTCAGGCTCATTTTTGTGATTTTCCACAGATAAAATTAGCACTAAATTTATGGGCATAGTGGCATTGTTCTGCAAGCTGTGGCCTGGAAGGTTTTCTTGTGGTTGTCACCATTTCCTCCTCTCCCAGTTTCCTCCAACTATGCTTTCTCTGGGTTCCCAAGAACTGGCTCACTTTGTGCTGGTGAGTGAGATGAAAGAGGGCTGAAAAGCAAACTAAGAGCTGCCCACCTTCTGAATAGCAACATCATGATACTAAGAAATCTCCCCCTCAACTAGACTGCCATTCTGCAAAGCCTCTTTATGCCATGACATATGTGAACCTTCATTCCAAGTGATCTTTCTGTCTGCAGAGGTCCACACAGCCACTGGATGTAGGGATTTCCCACTGACTTTGTCAATGTCTTGAAGTTTCAAGTACAGAGCACATTTTCCATTTAGATTTTCATTAGAATGTAAATAAGGCTGGTTTTTGAACTGTGGATTAAATTTCACATCCACCTACCGAAAATGGCCAGACATTACTTACCATGACATCTTCTCCTTTATAATGGGAAAATGAAGGGGAGCAGGAAAATTCCTTTATTGTTTTCATCCTGATTATAATAATTTAGAAAATTAGACAAATATAAAGGAGAAAGTAAAAATTTTTGTAATCTCACCACTGAAAAATAATGTTGACATAATTTTGGTTTGTATTCTTTTAAAAAATGGGATCCTACTATAAATATTCTTTCTGTGACTAGCTTTTTCAGTTACATATATATTGGCCTTTTTGTATGTCAATAAAAATAAATTTGCATTCTTACCAAATGAAGAACATTCCATATATAAATGTACCATTTGTATTTAATTAACTCAGTATTGATTGACAGTTGGACTCTTCCCAATTTTCACCAAGTAGTCAATCCCTGTGGTGAAAATCTTTATCATATCCTGTGCTCTTTTCCAATCCATTGCTAAGAAGTAATTCTTAGAAGGGGAATTTCCATGTCAAATGATTTGTACACCACTAAGGCTTTTAATACATGTTACTGTATTTCTTTATAGGAAATTTTTACTGACTTAGACTGTCACCAACAAATGCACAAAAGTGACTTGTTGCCATCATCTTCATCAGTTGTAGGCATGATCACTCTAAAAACCCTTTCTTAGTCTACTGGGTGAAAGTGCTGTATCCCATTATTACATGTTAATTTGAATTTATTTGTCAGTGAGATAGAATATCTTATTTTCTATTTGACTGTGTTATGATGTAAATTCTCTTTTCAAGTCTTTGCCATTTTTTCTATGGGAGACGATTTTAAAAATTGATTTGTGAGAACTCATGTATTAATTGTAGTAATCTTTTGTCTATCAAGTATTTTACATATTCTGTTTCTAATTTTGTGTATAGTATAGTGGGTTTTGCTCTACAGAAAATTTCATTCTCATGTAGTTAAATCTAAAATGTTTTTCATAATGATTTCTGCCTTTGGGTGCCATGCTCAGAAATTCTTCTAAACTAGTTTTTTAAAGTAAATGCACAAATAGGCACAAGCCTCCTTGTGCATGTGAATAGATTAGTAATAGAAGGGTCTTCAGATTACTAGAAGGCTTCAGGCTGAATATTTTTTAAATATAGAATTTACAGAAATTTTTACTCATGGAAATTTACTGATGGTAAGTCTATGCAAGACAAAAAAATCTGTGATTCACAATTATGGATTTGTAACTGTGATTATAATTATAATTTGTAATTTGTGACTATAATTTCTTAGGGATTATCATATTTAAAATAATCTTTGCTCTGGCATTTGGCATTGAAAGCCATCTATTCTATCAGTCTTTATTCCATGCCAAGATATCCATTTTGTTTTTCCTGTGAGTAATAAGTTCAATAGAAGTAAGGCCGAGTAAATAAATAATATTGAGAAGCACAATGCTTACAGTTCTATTTAAAGTGGTATAGTGTCATCATAACAAAAATCAGTACATTTATACTTCATAAACTAATGATGTTTAAATTATCTTAAGTATTATTTTCATAACTTACTAGGGTTACAAAAAGTAATAGATTTGAATTTCCTCACAAGCTTCAATTAATCCAGAAATCTCAGTTTTTAACCAACAGAAGGCATAATCACAGTTTCTCTCTTTCTTGAAAATATTATAAATGTTGTAGCTAATTGAGGAAAAGAAGGGAGAATAGAGGAGAGGAGAGACATAATAAAACAGACAGGAAGAACAGTATAGACATTGGTATTTTCCGTATGGCCTCATTCTTTAATTCTGTGCAACGAACTCATCTCCAGGGTACAGGACATCAGAATTCAAAATGTTCAAAATGAGCTAGGTGTTAAAATCTGACAGCAATTCTGAAAAAAATTGCATAATATTTAGATTAAAAAAATCATTTTCGGCTGGGCGCGGTGGCTCACTCCTGTAATCTCAGCACTTTGCGAGGCCGAGGCAGGCGGATCACCTGAGGTCAGGAGTTCGAGACCAGCCTGGCAAACATGGTGAAACCCCGTCTCTACTAAAAATACAAAAATTAGCCAGGTGCAGTGGCAGGTGCCTGTAATCCCAGCTACTCAGAAGGCTGAGGTAGGAAAATCATTTGAACCCGGGAGGCGGAGGTTGCAGTGAGCCGAGATTGCACCATTGCAGTCCAGCCTGGGCAACAGAGTGAGAGTCCATCTCAAAAAAAAAAAAAAATCATTTTCTAGTCAATCAAAATAAGATCCTTTTATCTTCCTTATCAGATTTGGAAGGAGCTTCCAAACCATCGAGGGCACAGCATAAGCACACTTGATGTCAGAGTTATCCATCCTGCCCTGGCCATCCATGACTGCCCACCAGTGACCCTGCCCATCACTGACTGCCTGCCAGTGACCCCGCCCAGCAGTGACTGCCCAGCAGATACTGCCCACCAGTGACCCTGCCCACCAGTGGCCCAGCACAGGTTTCCATTTGCTTTGGTCATCTTTCGGTCTTGCAAATCTTTCTTCCTTTCTCTCTTTTGCTATATTATGATCCATTAATAAAATGCCACTAGAAAATTTTCTGTGAAAACATTTCATAGTTTAGATGCCAATCTGTGTAATTTATTCAGATTGCAGATAAAATATTCAGTATCTTCTGCTGCATTGCATATAACCTGGGTTCCAAGTCAAAGACATATTAAAATTGTGATTATAATTATAATTTGTAATTTGTGATTATAATTTCTTAGGAATTACTAGATTTAAAATAATCTTTGCTCTAGGAAAAATTAAGTGTAAAATGCTATATGTAGGATGAATGTATTTATTATCCAAACCAGGAGATCTTTGAAAGTGAAGGGATGGAAAGGACTATCAATAAGTAAGCCAGAATAACAGAAATAAACTGGAAGTGTCCCAGGCAAGCTAGGGCGTAGGATCCCCTTGTTTGGAAAGAGATTTTAAAATACCATGTGTGGATATTGTCATCATTGAATACAAACTGCTCTTGAGATTTTCTGTTTAAATGGATCCCTTTTAAAGGCTCTGATATCTTAAGGAAGGAGGAGATAATAGATGCTATATGCAACTCTATTATCTGGCCATCTTTCATTGAATTGTAGGCTTCCTAAGACGTAATTTGTTTTACTTTTTTTTCAAAAGGTTAAGGAATAAACAGCTTAAAAAATGGCAGATTTATAGAAAGATACCACCACTGTAAAGGCTTTTAAAGCCTGTGTTTATGCTTTCTTCAATTGTGTGTTTGCTTATTTTTGATGATTGTGAAATATTTGTAAGTATTTGGTTATTGACTCACTGGATTAGAATGTAGTTTGTATATGGTAAATACAAAAAGCAGTAATAACTACGGGGCACTATTAATAAGCAGAAATAATAATAGTTATTCCACATATATTATCTTTAATTTTTATAAAAACCTTGTAATGTACCGTTAGCCCCATTGTATAGAGAAGAAAATGAGGTTCCCTAGCTCGATGAAGGCCACAAAGTTAAGACTAAACAGGCTGACTGTCTGAATCTAAAACCCACGATCTTCACTACACGTTGTCTTTTTCTTAAGAAATATCTTGAGATTGTCCTTGTCTAATGTCCATCTTCATCTCCAATTTTTTCTGGGATGATTAAAGACCCATAATTACAGTATAATATTATTCCTAGCTTTAGCTTCTACAACTGATGGTTGTATGCCAGAGACAGCAGTGACGTTATTTACTCAATCGCAGTAGTTTTGGAGGTTATAATGGACTAAAATGAATAATTTTTTCCTAAACACACTGCATCGCTGCTCATTCCATTTCCCATAATGGCTAACTGACTTGGTAGCCAGTGTCAACCACTTCTTACATATTCTGGGCTACTGTATCCCACAGCCACAGCATCTTCCTGAGCCCTATTTAGATAACAAGTAGTAACAGGCCCCTGATTACTGTGGAAATTGTTCATAGGAACACAGGTCTAACGAGTGGTAATGACACATGGGTGAGCATAAACATCATGCCATTGCTTTTACGTAACAACAATAACCTCACTCACGAAACCTGCCTCGGTGTGTTTGTATCCAGGAGGCAAGCCAAATCAGTCTCCTACAGGACCTGAGATCCAGGAATATTGGGAACAGTGGTGCTGAAAAATCCTAGCAACTGTTATCTGTATTCCCATAAAGACGGACCTATAATCCACCTGCTACTACATTCTAGAGCCACTCTGAAGTAAAAGGGTATGTTCTTGGTTTTAAGGTATTTGCAATCTACCTGAACGCAAAATTGACCTTTTTCAAGTTGCTTTCTTTCCACATCCCATGAAATTTAGCATGCTGGATTGAAGCATTTCTTAGAACGCGTTCCAGTTGTATTTCTCTTTCTAACTTGATCTTCTCGTCTGCCTATCACATCAAACATATCAACATTCTCCTGATCCTAAAAAACAAAACTACAAAAATTATAATAAAAATTTCATATTCCTTTAACAATGCCTCCACTCAAATTCTTGCCTTGTATCCAACTTTCTATTTTTATTTTTACAGACAGGGTCGTGCTCTAACCTTGAATGCCTGGGCTCAAGTGATCCTCCCACCTTAGCCTCCGGAGTAGTTGGAACTATAGGCATGCACCACCACACGTGGCCTTTAGCTTTTTATTGATGTTGTCATACATTTTTTATACTTCTTCTTTTATTTAAAAATAGTTTTAAGGAATTTTTATTTTATTTTTGAACAATCCCAGCCTTTTAGAAATTGTGCAAGTATGGTATAGAGCACTGTTTCTTCCAGAACTACTTGAGAGTAAATTACCAACATTACCCTTAAATACTTATTATTTGGGAAAGAGACCTCAATGATGTTTCATCTTCGTCTTTCCCAGAGCAAGAAACCACACTGCTGTATTCATAGCTCTGCATTTGGAACTGCCGAGCCCTAGGTGTGTATATCTTAACTTTACTAGGCAATGCCCAAGTGTTCTCCAAAGTGTCTCTCAGACTTTCTGAAATAGTCTTGTGGCCTCCACTTTTCTCATCAACAAATCTCTCTTAAACTCCAAATAGTGGGCTCTGTTCCTGCCCCTCTACAGGAAGGGTCCCTGTGAAAATCATACCAGATCCCTTACTGTCCACAATAAAATATTCTTATTGTCTATCATCATCCTCTTTTTTTTTTTGAAACTCTGTTTTTACAATTAGTTTCATTCACTTATGTTCAATTAATGAACACAAATGTTATTGGTTGAACACCTGTTATGATTCGAGCATTGTATATTCAATGGTGAATAAAACAGAGAAACTCTTTGCTTTTTGGAACTAACATCAAACTGAATTAATTTACCTAAACCACAGATCGGATCATGTTATCAAATACTTTTAATACCTTCTTCTAACTTAAGAAAAAACCTTTATAATCCTTCATTCTGCATCCTCCTAAAATGATAATATCCTACCAGCCTTGCCCTCTGTTACTATCATACCTGACATCAATGAATTCCAAACAGTGGGCCAAGACCTCTGCCTGGGAGAACCAAGTTAGTATGCCAGTGGAGCCATGAATCAATGTATATTTCAGTAGTAGACTGAATAAGTAATATGCCTTGTACATCTAATCTTGATATTGTTCAAATTTATATAGATGTTGTTGTAAATTTATTCCAAAGTGAATTCAGAGTAACTTGGAAGTCATACATTGATTTCCATGAAATGCTGCTAAAAGTATGATATCATTTCGGGGGTGGGGTGGAATGCAAACACTTTTGATATTTACAAGTGGACGTAAGTTATAAAGTCTTAATTCTAACAAATCTGGACTTCCTCCTTCTTTCTTTCTTTCTTTTTTTTTTTTTTTAACAGTCTTGCTCTGTCACCCAAGCTGGAGTGCAGTGGTGCGATCTTGGCTCACTGCAAACTCTGCCTCACGGGTTCAAGCAATTCTCCTGCCTCAGCCTCCCGGGTAGCTGGGATTACAGGCGCCTGCCACCACACCCAGCTAATTTTTGTAATTTTAGTAGAGACGGGGTTTCACCATGTTGGCCAAGCTGGTCTCGAACTCCTGACCTGAAGTGATCCCCCCGCCTTGCCCTCCCAAAGTGCTGGGATTACAGGTGTGAGCCACTGCACCTGGCCCAAATGTGGGCCTTTTTTTCGCCCTCACTACTCTGCCTCTAAGACTCTGTTAAAGCTGATTGTCCTGTGGTGTTAGCTTCACCTGCAAGAATCCTGTCCAAGGTTCAGTTTTGATTTCAGAAAGCTCCTCCTCCAAAGTGTCCGTTCATGTTGTAATCTATTCCTGTGCTATGCTTTCCCATGGTTGTCCCAGTCCTATGTGTAAAAGACTAGGTTTTCCTTGTCTTTCTATCCCCTGAAACTCCTAGCATAGTGCTGGCACATATGAGCAGAAAAATTATTGTACAATTGACATAAAGATTGTCAATGAATAGTCATCATCAAGTATATAACATAATTACAGTCCCCTACATTAGAGCCAATAGAAGTTAAGTAATGTATTTCAAGTAATGTTTATTTTATTGGAAAAAATAATGCATAAGTTCATTATTAGGCTACTTTAGGGCTTTTAGAACTCTAGAATTCCCTCTGCTTTTAAATTATTTTTAGCCCTTACACCTAATGCAAAAGAAGGTAAATTATGTCATGCTTATTTCAGAGGCAAAATAAATTTCCCCTTCCAGATGATTAATATAATAATACTCTTCCCTCAAACAATGTTGCCTGATTAATGTATTTCTATGAAGGATTAATCTGTGAAAGTTGAGGCAGGAGCTCAGACTTGGCACTGTGCTGTAACAGAAATCTTATTGTTACTTACTGTACAACTTTGATGGATCTTTAAGTTATTATCAGGGACAAAGACCCTATCGTGTTCATCTCTGTGTTCTCTACTCCTAGCGAAGCCATACAGCTTTGCAGAGAATATGTGTTTAAAGCATCTGTTAGGTGAATACACATATGAATCGGCTAGAGGAAAAGCTCTTCCTGACCTGGATGTTGGGCCTAGTTAAGTAAAACAGACCCCTGTGAGATAATGACTTACAATCAAGGTCTAATAGGTAAGACAGACCTTCATTTCTATTTATCTAAGAGAGAAGCATTTGGCTTTTTTCTATCTTGTTTTTTTTTTTTTTTTTTTTTTTTTTTTTTTTTTGAGACGTAGTCTCGCTCTGTCGCCCAGGCTGGAGTGCAGTGGCGGGATCTCGGCTCACTGCAAGCTCCGCCTCCCGGGTTCACGCTATTCTCCTGCCTCAGCCTCCCAAGTAGCTGGGACTACAGGCGCCCGCCACTACGCCCGGCTAATTTTTTGTATTTTTTTTTTAGTAGAGACGGGGTTTCACCGTTTTAGCCGGGATGGTCTCGATCTCCTGACCTCGTGATCCACCCGCCTCGGCCTCCCAAAGTGCTGGGATTACAGGCGTGAGCCACCGCGCCCGGCCCTATCTTGTTAAAGGTATCTGATAAATCTTTTCTCCATTCACAGAGAATTGTAACAAATTTTTATCAAACAAAGATATATGCCTTCTTTGCGTAACCAGCATTCATTCAAATTATCCAGCACTTTCAGATCTGTTACATTTAGGAATGTGTTCATCTGAGAATAGGAAACTGCAAAGCGATCCTTGGAAAGTGCTATGGTCTGAATGCTTGTGTACCCCCCAAAATTCATATGTTGAAACCTATTCACCAATGTGATGGCATTAGGAGGTGGGTAGAGCCTCATGAATGGGATGAGTACCCTGCTAAGGGGCTGAAAGCACTGGAGTTCTCCCTTTTCCACCTTGTGAGGACACAGTGAGAGGGCACCATCTATGAACTGGGAAACGGTGGCTCTCCAGACCCAAATCTGCTAGAGATTTGTCTTGGACTTCACAGTTTTTAGAACTGTGAGACATACATTTCTGTTGTTTATAAACTACTCAGTCCATGGTACTTTGTTATAACAACCCAAACGGGCTAAGACAGAGACCTTCCAGAATTTCTGAATATTATTTTGGTCCGTATATATCGATCAAGGCAAACCAGTAAAGGGAAGTTCAGAAATTGATTTTTTTCTTGCTCTTTATGATTCATATGTTAGAAGACAGTTTCTTATCAGTTAACATTCAGCAGATCACTTCTCTGTCAATTTAGAGAATAGTAATTGTGACTTTAACTGGCAAATCATCTCAAAATTGTAAGTCATACTTCTTCAGAAAGAACAAGCTCTTCTTGTTGCAGTGCTAATAGCTTACTGAAGCAACATCATGAGGCCCAAATAAAAGACACTTTTTATGGCAGGGTGTAGAAAGGCAAGGGCTGATGTTCCTGACGCAACTGTGATCCTGATTCAAAGCAACTTGGTGGACATATGGAAACTAGCCCCCCTCCCACAGCAGAGCTAGGAGCAGGATTTAGGAAACCTAGAAGAAAGAAATGGGCCTACTGTCAGAATGATGGCCATACAAATTTGGAAACGAACACCTCATGGCAGTAGGATTAGGAAATATTCCTTAAGGTCAATTGATTCTATCATCAGACAAGCTATTTTTAAAAGTGTTTTTTAAAACTTCCATATAGTCTTACTGGGGCGCGGTGCTTATTTCTTCCTTCCTTTATCTTGGCAGAACATCCCTATAATAGATTTCCCACAAGGAAATGCCAAATTCTAACATCAAACAGTTATACCCAGAGCAAATAAAATTTTTCCACATTCTCCTTTGCAGACCAGTCATTGTTACTATTACCCATTATATTTGTAAGAATGTACCCAATTTCTTGATATACTCCTAGGCATTTGAACACACACACACACACACACACACACACACACACACACACACACACACACACACATATATTTTGAGACATGGTCTCATTTTGTTGCCCAGGCTGGAGTGCAGTGGCATGATCATGGCTCATTGTAGCCTCTGCCTCCCAGGCTCAGGTGATCCTCCCACCTCAACCCCCCAAGTAGCTGAAACTACAGGCATATGCCACCACACCTAACCATGTTTTTTATATTTTGTAGAGACGGGGTCACCCTGTGTTGCCCAGGCTGGTCTTGAACTCTTTGAGCTGAAACAGTCCTCCCTCCTCAGTCTCCCAAAGTGCTGAAATTATAGGCATGAGCCATCGCACCCGGCCTAAACATATATTTTGAAAGATCTTCACTTAGTAAAAATCCAACCAAAGCAGTGAGTAAAGCTTGACAGTAAATGAGACAACAAATTACACACACTTCGAAGGTCACTAGGCCTTAACAGAAATGAGAATATTTCAAGACAGAGCTCTTTTCATGCAGCTCCTAAATCTAAGTGTGGGCTGGGAGGGACAGGAGAGGCAGGAGGCCGCAAGGTGTCCCTGTCCTGGAGTAGAGAGGGTCCATTTTAGGGTTAATTACAATGGCTGAGAAGATGCCCTGAGAGGAAGGTGATCTTTTCAGTCATCAGAATTTAAAGTCCAGCTTAACACTTGCTCTTATACTGAGAAACAAACATGGAGCATGGGCCGTCCTCAGCCACAGGTATGAGCTGTCAGCATCCTGAACTGGTCATTATCCATCTACCAGATCTTCAGATCTCTCTGAAATTGTTACCTATTACTGAACTCTAATTCTAGGAGGTTGCTTGATTTTTCTTTATTAGTTGGGGGGAAAAAAGCAAGGATGACCTACTCTTTAGTTTCACCCTAAAATGCACCTCACACTGAATAATCCAGAGAGTTAAATGGCATTTGCTGTCTTCAGTTTTCTAGTTTTTGTTCACAGCACGATTAACAAAGTAGAACATTCAGACTTGCATGTGATATCAATTCAGCAATATCAATGCTTTCCAGCACCTTTGGAAGGACAAAAATACTGACTACAAAGATGCTGCTTTCTCTCTTCTCATCCTTTTTAAAAAAAATACACTCAGAATGTCCATGGCATTTATTATTATTACTGCCATTTTGTGAGAAATGAACCATACTCACTAAAGATCCAATGATATGCTGAAGTGGTAAGATAATTCTCTAGATTTTATCCTACGTCACCAAAGCCCCAAAACTCCAAAGCATGATAGTGACAATATTAGTGGTTTCAAAGAATTGGCAAGTTTTAACAGATTGGTGTAAGAATCATGGGTATTTTAATAACAAATTATCATTCATTTAAAAGTAAATATCACCTACTAAGCTGTATCAGAACAAGACATTAGCACTTTATTTGATTCTTTAGGCAAAATCACATTAAACTTAAGTAATCCCTCCCAGGGATTGTGCTGAAACACCTGTTTTCTTAAGCAGCATGTCCTCCGTGAGAAATAAATTCAAAGTAAATAAATAGGACACGAGGCCATTTTATAATTTCTGCCAAGGTAAAACCAAAAAATACCTCCAAAGTTAAGCCAAATGAAAACAGAAATATGTGACAGGTTTGTCAACTGATAACCCTATGTTGTTAATTCAGGTTATCTCTATTTATCTAAAGTTGTTTGATTTAGTCTCATCTTATAAAATGTATGTAACTGAGTTGATGCCAAAACTACTTCATAATGTACTCGACTTTCTTTTAATCTTGCTAGGAATTCAGACAGAAAATATACTTTAAACATGTCAATATTATGTTTATTTTTAGCTTATTCATTTATAGAATGTCAGAGCAAATTAATATGGACCCAGAAAAGGCTAAACTTTAAGATGAGCATTTTTAAGACCTAATATAACATTTTACTTTCAAAATAGATACTTAAGTACCCCTTAAGTATCTTAATGTGTTTAGACTGTATTTCTTAACTATTTTTGAACAAAGATTTGATGAACTTCCCTACATATGTCAATACCCAATTCACAGCAAAGGCATTTTAGAATTCTCTATCCTCCTATTTCCTTTTGCTCTAATCTTTAAGCCACAGCAGGTGTCATACCAAATATATATTATTACTTGCAGATTCTCTGACTCCTCTCCAGATTGTCATATCTGGATGTCCATACTTTTGTGTATGTTCCTGTATTAGTCTGTTCTCACTCTGCTAATAAAGACATACCCAAGGCTGGGTAATTTATAAAGGAAAGAGGTTTAATTGACTCACAGTTCAGCATGGCTGGGGAGGCCTCAGGAAACTTACAGTCATGGAGGAAGGGTATGCAAACACATCCTTCTTCACATGATGGCAGGAATGAAAAGTGGCAAGCAAAAGGGGAAAAGCCGCTTATAAAACCATCAGATCTCATGAGAACTCACTTACTACCATGAGAACAGCATGGAGGTAACCGCCCCCGTGATTCATTCACAGGTCTCTCCCATGACACGTGGGGATTATGGCAACTACAATTCAAGATGAGATTTGGGTGGGGACACAGCCAAATATCAGTCAGTCCCCTAATGCCTTTCAGTGGACACATGAATAAACAAATTAATACCTTCATTAATATAGGGGCCCCATTATATAAGGGCCTAGAATTGAATCATTTAAAAATCACATGAATAGCAATCATTTTAAAATCACATGAATTTTAAATCATTTGATTTTAAATTGAATCATTTTAAAATCACATGAATAGCAAAACAAATATAAAATTTTTGTAACATCTACTAAAATTTAGTGACTATTAAATAGAGATATGCATTTTCATAGACAAAAGCTTCCTTGCTGCTTACAACCCTTTCAAAAAGCCAAAAAAAGAAAGCAAAATAATAACAGAAATTTTATGGGGTCATCAGATTGATTGATTTGGCTTAAAATGTAAAAAACACACACACGCAACAAAACTAGCCAGAACAAGAAAAATACTTTTGTCCTAACAATTTCAAATGCTTGATATCATTCACGTTCTGAGATGCACATCTTTGGTGATGGCTTGTTTTTTTTGTTTTTTTTTGTTTTTTTTTTCGGTAGAGAAAATGTGTTGCTGTAACAAAACCGTAAAAAGCTGTGTGAGATGGAATCTGGAGTATCTAAAGGTATTTAAAATAAATATCTCTGCCCTTATTTCTACCCCTGAGTTTAGGAATTTTGAAAACAGATGTCTTCTATCAAAGAGAGTAGCAGATTTTTTTTCTTCTTTAACTTGGCAGGGACATTTGCATTTTCTATACTCTCAATTCCCTAATAGGGAAGGAGTTTGTTTTTGTTTTTTTCTCTTGCATTTTTCCTGATTTAGAGCTGTACCCTGAGGGATAGAGATAGTATGGTGCACTGGTTAAGTTTGGTCATGGGTTTTATTGTCCGACAGTTCTAAGTTCAAATCCCAGATCACATAATAATAAAAGCTAATTTCTGTGGAGGGCTTATGAGGTGTCCACCTTTGGTATAATGTTTTTTGCATGAATTATTTCAATATCATTTGATTTTTCACAACTTAATCGATATTATTATGCATATTTTTAGACAAGAAAACTGATATTTAAGGTATTAAGAAAATTTATCGAAGACATTCAGCTAGTAAGTGGAAAGATGAGATTTGAATGCAGGTCTGTTTAATTCCAGAACCATGTTTTACCCACTAAACTCTAACCACCTACTAATTGTGACCTTAGACATGCTCCTGCACGTCTCTGCATCTTGTTATATTATTGTAGGGATGAATTAATATTTGTAAAACATTTAGGACACAGTGCCTGATATAAAGTAAGCTTCAATAAATCATAACCTCAAAATGGTTGTGTTTGCCTTGTCTGTTAGACAATCAGAAAAAATTGTATTTTATATGTATCCACATATTTATATTTCATATATCCTTCATTCCATCCTGTAATTCTAAATTTCCATCTAGTATTATTTCTCTTTAGCCTGAAATGCTCATTCCTTTACCCTTTCTTATAGGATGGATTTGCTCACAACAGATTATGTCCAATTTTGCTTATCTGAGATTTTCTTTATTTTCTCTTCACTTTTGAAGGTTATCTTTACTGAATATAGAATCTAAGTTCACAGGTTTCTTTTTTTTTTAATTTTAGCAGTTTGGCGATGCCATTCCATTACTTTCCATCCTCCTTTTTTCTGATAACAGGTCAAATGTATTATTGTTCCTCTACATGTAATGTTGTCTCTGGCTGTTTTTAAAACTACATTATTTGGCTGGATACAGTGGCTCATACCTGTAATCCCAGCACTTTGGGAGGCCAAGGAAGGAGGATCACTAGAGCCCAGGAGTTTGAAGATTATCTTGGGAAGCATAGGGAGACGCCATGTCTACAAAAAATAAAAAATTAGCTGGGTGTGATCGCATATGCCTATAGTCCCAGCTGCTTGAAAGGGGGAGGTGGGAAGCTCACTTGAGCTCAGGAGGTGGAGGCTGCAGTGAGCTATGATCGTGCCACCGCACTCCAGCCTGGGTGACTGAGTGAGACCCTATCTCAAAAAAAAAAAAAAAGACTATCTTTGGTTTTCAGTAAATGTGTCTAGTTGTGTAATTTATCCTATTTAGGATTTGCTATGCTTTTTGGATCTATGTGTTGATATTATTCATCAAATTTGGCAAAATTTTGTCCAATATTCCCTCATATTTTTTTCTCTTATCTCTCTTTTCTCTCCTGAGACTTTAAGTATATGTGTGTTTGACCACTTGATACTTTTGCTTAATTTATTAAAGTTCTGTTCAATTTTTCTCAATCATTTTGCTTTCCGTGCTTCAGTTTTAATAATTCCTACTGACCTGTCTTCACCTTTACTGATCCTCTACTTTGCACTGTCCAACCTGCTACTGATCTTAACAATGCTTTTGAAACTTCAAATACTGTATTTTTAAATTCTAGGTTTATCATCTGTTTCTCTTTTGGAGTTTCCATCTGTCTCCTGAAATTGCCTGTCTCGTCATTCATTTTTCCTGAAGATCCTTTAATGTATTTATTACAGTCATTTTAAAGCCCGTGGCTACCAATTTCACCTGAGAGAGCTGTATGTCTGTTTCTATGGTTGACCTTTTTCTTGGCTATAGGTCACATTTTTATATTTTGTTTTGTTTTGTTTTTGGGGGTTTTTGCATGTTTAATGATTTTTTTGTTTGTTTGTTTTGGAGACAGAGTCTCACTTTGTCATCCAGGCTAGAGTGCAGTGGCATGATCTCAGCTCACTGCAACCTCCGCCTTTCCGGTTCAAGCGATTCTTCTGCCTCAGTCTCCCTAGTAGCTGGGATTACAGGTGTGCATCACCACGCCCAGCTAATTTTTTGTATTTTTAGTAGAGACAGGGTTTCACCATGTTGACCAGGCTGGTCTCGAACTCCTGACCTCAAGTGATCTACCCGCGTCAGCCTCCCAAAGTGCTGGGATTACAGGCGTGAGCGATTGTGCCCAGCCCATGTTTAATGATTTTTTTTAAAGAAATTTACACTGGGCATTGTGCATGATGATAAATTACAGGGATTCTGTGTTCTGCAGTTTCCTCAGAAGAGTAAGGAGGCTTTATTTTTAGCAGGCAGTTAAATCACTAGTGGATTACCTTGATCCTTTCACTGTTTGGTTTTAGTTTGGGGCTTTGTTCAAGTGAGTCTATTTCAGTTTCGATCTTTGTTTTGGGATGCGATTCTTATTCCTAAGGTGTTGCCATTCTGAGTTTTAATGGAAAGTCCAAGATGTTCACCAAGCCCTGTTAACTTAGTAAGACTTCAATGCCAAATTCTGTTAACCCAGACTAGGCAGATGTTGAAAGCTCTGCCCAGCTCCTTCAGCCTTTGAGCATTTGATTCCTACTTAAGACATTCTTTTCAATGGTGCATTTCAGAATATAGCTAAAAATATGAAGGGTCATTTTGTGCAGATTTGAGGATCTGCTCCCTTTGGTGACTGCTTCATTTATAGAATTTCTTCCCTCAATTTTCAGGTACTCTGGCAGCCATGAACTCTGACTTCTGAGCTCCTCAGCGCAGAAGGATTTCTATTCTCTGACAGAGCTCTAGACCCCATATGCTGCGTGGACTGGAGATTCCCCTAAAAAGAAATGCCAGAACAAATATATATGTATTACTCACCTTGATTCGGTTATTTCAAGGATCATATCACCTTCATTTTCTGCCTGCTTGTGGTTGCTCTTTGGTAACTCAAGCAGTTGCGTTTTATATTTTGTACAGAGTTGACCATTGTTAATGGCAGGAAATTATTCTAGTATATGCTATTTGCTATAACCCAAAGCCAGGAACATGAGTTTTTAATAAGTTATGTTATAAATGTTAATTATCTTTTTATCAATGAGACACTATGAATGTTAAATTTTTGGCATAGGACCACATCTGGCATAGAAAGTGCTTTCAAATTATAAGCCCATCATGATTAGAGGAATGAGTTAGAGTTTATCAGAAGGACAACTAAAGAAGAGACAACCACAGAAGAGAACATTGCAGTCCACACAAAGCCCTACAGCAGCCTGAACTCATGATAACCTGCTGTCACTTGCACAGCATCCACGGCAGCTATCTGTGAAGTCCTTATAGCCAGCTGTTGCCTCTGAAAAAGTCATTGTAAAGTTCATGAACTCAGAGCAAAGACTTCTAGTCTCTATTTGAGGTAGCTAACAGACTAAGGCTTAGCCAGATACAGAAATCAAAGAAATAGATAATGTTAGATAGATAATGTGAGTCTCGACCTGCTGTGGCTAACAGACTAATACCTCAGCAGATAGAGAAATCAAAGAAAAATATGAGACTTATGACATTTCAAAATGATTTTCTACATTGGAATAAACAAGTCTCATTGGCTACAGATCATGTTCATAAGCTTCTACTTCAGAAGTACGTAGAAAACTGTGTTGCATAATGTGCCCATGTAAAATGTGTGGTACAGCACCTACTCATGGCATCCTGTCTAGTGTTTTAGACACTGGTTGCTTTTATTTTTATTTCATTTTATTTTATTTTATTTCATTTTATTTTATTGAGAAGGAATCTCACTCTGTTGCCCAGGCTGGAGTGCAGTGGCTCGATCTCAGCTCACTACAACCTCTGCATCCTGGGTTCAAGCAATTATCCTGTCTCAGCCTCCCGAGTATCTAGGATTGCAGGAGCACACAACCATGCCCAGCTAATTTTTCTATTTTTAGTAGAGACGGGGTTTCACCATATTGGTCAGGCTGGTCTGAAACTCCTGACCTCAGGTGATCCACCCACCTCGGCCTCCCAAAGTGCTGGGATTACAGGCCTGAGCCACCGCGCCTGGCCTCTGGTAGCTTTTAAATACAATTATGGGCCGGGTGCAGTGGCTCACTTCTGTAATCCCAGCACTTTGGGAGACCAAGGTGAGCAGATCACTTGAGCCCAGGAGCTCGAAACCAGCCTGGGCAACATGGTGAAACCCCATTTCCACAAAAAATTTAAAAATTAGCCAGGTGTGGTGGCATGTGTCTGAGGTCCCAGCTACTTGGGGGGCTGAGGTGGGAGGATTGTTTGAGCCTGGGAGGTGAAGGCTGCAGTGAGCCTAGATCATACTACTGCTCTCCAGCCTGGGTGACAAAGTGAGACCGTGTCTCAAAAAAATAAACAAATTATAAATAAATAAATAAATAAATAAAACTATGAAAATACATACAAAAGCACAGCTGGAAAAAAGTCAACAAATATTTACTGTTTAAATATTCGAAAGAAATATGAAATATTCAAGAAATATTTGAAATATCATGAAAGAACCTCTGTAGAGTACCTAAATATTGGCTTTGTTCCAAAAATGATAAATGCAATAGAAACTCTGTGAAGAATCCTGGACAGATAAACATTCTAAACATTCACAGCAAATTAAACTAGAACTTGAAAAGTGAAAGTAGAAACTATAGAAAAGGTGGATGGCATCCAAATACGGGACAAACATAACCAAAAAAATCTAGGAAATAAAACATATGATGGAGATGAGAGCAGGTCAGTTTAATTATGGTGGTGAATACATGGTAGAATATGAGATTGAGTTAATAGGATTGGGTAAGGTAAGCATAGAGCAAGTCAAATGCTATGGGGGAGGAGTTTGATGCTGCCAACATGACATTTTCCAAGTCTAGAAAATAGTAAATGGAAAATGGTATGCTTTAAGAAATATCTTTAATGGGAAGGCATATTTGCTATTATGATATCACACATTGAATTTTACTTGGTATTGCTTCTGAAATTTTTTTAATAAAAAAGAGAAAACACAAGACACACTCAAGCAGCAGAGGAAAATGTCCGAGACAGATTTTGCACTCAATGGAAGTTCAGTTACTGCGATAATTATGAAGATAATTATCATAATGAAATATGAAGGGAAAGCCCTTTTGCACAGCCTGGCTTCATGCATTCACCCCTTTAGAAGCATATTTCTACTCTAGTATAGTCAGATAGTTTTAAAAGCAATTTTATGCCATACATGCTGAAGTTGACATAAAAGAGACATTTATTTTGTGCTCTGAATCATACAAATCCTCCTTTCATTCATTCAGGTATTCAGTCAACCATTTATTATTAATTGACCATCTACAATGCGCCAGACATCATTTTAGACACTGGGGCTACCATGGCAAACAATTTGATGATTTTCTTCCTCCACGGAGCCTACTTTTTGGGCTTGATCCTCACCTACTCTCTCTGCTTCTTTGGGGTCACAGCCTTCCTGCCTGCTCTCCTTCCTTCAGATTGATGTACAGTCTACCCTATTTTAGTTTGAAACCTCAGTTTCCCTGTCTTCTCTCTCCTTTCCTTCTTAGTTTCATGTGATCTTGGAGAACTTCTAGTGTAAAATCTAGCTCTGAGAATTGCTTCTTTCATATCCTAGCCTGCATACAGAACAATCCCAAGTCAGCCTCAGCCTCCTAAATGGGACCCAAGCCCAAGACCTTGGTAGGTGTTTGGGAGCATAGCTGGAAATTAACCTATTTCACTTTGAACAAACTAGTGAAGATGTTGCTGAATAGACTCAGTTTCAAGATGTAATAAGGGTTTTTTATTGGCATACATGATATAAAGCTTCACATACTTTTCCTCAGTCTATTAATCAAGTGTCTCCTCTTTTGTGTTCTTTCTTTTGTTGAAATAAAGCAACAACCATAGCTCCATCATGTAATTTTTTTATTTTGTTACCCTTTCACAGGAGGACACATAATGTTAAATCCTAATGTTCTCTGTCACAAGAAGAATTAAATTATATCTTGAGGCTGAGTTATTTTTTATGTGGTATGAATGACACTAACTCAATATAGATCCCAAAGCAGTAGAATCCGTCATCAGTGCTTTGGTCTCCTAGTATTGGGGTACATCAGTGACCTATATGCATGGAGTGGAGAGAAGCTATGAGTCAGTTGAGGCCAGTGCTGAAAGCAAAGCCAGTGACCCAGAGCTTATAAACCCTGTGCATTGATATTAATAGCTTGATTTCTAGAAATCAGTTTTATCTGAGGCTGGCTGTACTAATAGCCATAGCTCTAAACATCTTAGTACTTGTCCTATGGCCTTCCAGGCATATTTATAAAATGAATTCATGTGGTGTTCATTGACAGGTATTTAGCCTATTTAGCAGATTTTATATTACTAGTAGCAAAGAAGTTCTCATGGCAAAAAGACACCTGCATATAACTATGCCAATTTGGTCCAGAAAATCTTAA
The DNA here is from genome assembly GCF_000001405.40 of Homo sapiens. NCBI lineage: Eukaryota > Metazoa > Chordata > Mammalia > Primates > Hominidae > Homo > Homo sapiens. Next base: position 73,512,179 of record NC_000013.11, read on the forward strand.
TAAGGTCTATAAAAATATTCTCAGTAATAGTGGACATGCCAACAAAAAGATTTATGAGAATGAGCAATTACACTTTACTTTCATTCTCTCTTTTTTTTTTTCCAAAAAACGGATGGCTTCTACTATAAATCAAGAAGAAATTCCAGAATAAAATGTCTATGAGTGGAACAATTAACACAATGGCTCTTTAATTTCTTTATTTTTTTTTTTTTCTTGAGACAGGGTCTTGCTCTGTCACCCAGGCTGGAGTGCAGTGGCACGATCTTGGCTCACTGCAATCTCAACCTCCCAGGCTCAAGCAATCCTTCCCACCTCAGCCTCCAAGGAGTTGGGACTACAGGCATATACACCATGCCAGGCTAATTTTTGTATTTTTTTTTAGAGATGGGTTTTTTCCATGTTGCCCAGTGATATGGTTTGGCTGTGTTCGCACCCAAATCTCACCTTGCGTTGTAATAATCTCCATGTTTCAAGGTCAGGACCAAGCGGAGATGATTGAATCATGGAGGCGGTTTCTTCCATGCTGTTCTTGTGATAGTGAGTGAGTTCTCACGAGAGCTGATGGTTTTATAAGGGGCTTCCCCCTTCACTTGGCACCCATTCTCTCTCCTGCTGCCCCGTGAAGAGGTGCCTTCTGCCATGATTGTAAGTTTCCTGAGTCCTCCCCAGCCATGTGGAACTGTGACTCAATTAAACCTCTTTTCTTTATAAATTACCCAGTCTCAGGTGTTTCTTCATGGCAGCGTGAGAACAGAATAATACACCCAGGCTGGTTGATTTAAGTCCAATTGGTGAAGTGGTAAATTTATTATTCAGAAAAGACAGTAGAAGATGACTGAAGAGCCCCCACTATGAAAAGTTACCAGAACTTTCAACCCCTTATTTTCCAGTTGCAGAGCCCAAGCTACCTCAACTGTGCCTTACTGCCATGACTGAGGCCACAAGACGTGGCATCCTCAAACTGGGGACTATATTTCCAGGCTTCCGAAGAACTCACTAGAACAACCTAATTCATAAAATATTCCATAGCTGTGATAAGTGTGAATCCGGTGGAATTACAATGAGAATTTAGATATATAAGTATAGTAGACATACTGGGTTATCTGAGGTGTCCTTCATTGGGATTCCCTTATCCCCACCACTAGTCACAGAAGCAGGTTCCTAACAGTCATCTTTAGACATTGTGACAATGCCCAATAGGCTCCAGTCTTATCTGTCCAGGGTTAATCAGCTAAGCTGAGCAGCATCCCTTTCTTGGCAATTTTGAGGGTGGCCCAAGAAAGTTCAACTTCGGTCTGTGCTGGTGAAAGAAAATATAAACACTGAGGCCATATTTTCTGCCACATAGATCAGGGGGCTGAGGAAATAGCCTGGAAAGATGGAGAGGAGAAAGAAAGAGAAATACATGGAAAAGGAGAAGCAGAGGAATGGTAGAGAGTAGGGGGGTTGGAGGAGGTTTCCCGTGATGCCTGTTTCTGGTGAATGACTACTCTGTTAGACTGATGCTCGTATGTGTTTTTCTAATTCCCTCAGACCCCTTAGGGTGTCATGGGTTTCCTAGTATCCATATAATAAATCCTCTTTTTTAAACTTCAACTCTCTCAAGTTGACTTACATTGTTTGAGCCCCAAATTCTACCTAATCCAAAAATTAATCCTAAAACATAATTTCTAAGACATTTAAAGCAGACGTTCATTAGCTGTGTCCATTTTTCCTATTCATATCCTGCCCATGCATGGGGATTTCATGTCCTGGACTTGTTAATGCAAGGATTTCATGTCCTGGACTTGCATTAACAAGTTCCTGGCTTCTGCCCTTTGTGTCTAACCATCAAAATCCAGGTCAAAACGCAGGTATTCCAGGAAACCATCACATCTTCACCCAGCCCATTATGGTTTCTTTTTAATTCTCTTCCTAGCATCTCTCCACAGCCCTGAGAACACACTACATTATTCTTCACGTGTTTAAACATTGCCTTGCAATCATTCTTAAAATGCTTTGTTTGCTTATATTTTTTTCTCCAAAGAGATGATGAATTATTTGACAAAAGGGATAAAATACTTTATTTAAAAAAAGAGTCAGAAAGGAAATATTTTACTGATTTACTTTAAATAGCCTCTGTACTAAGAATTGCATACCACAGGTGCCCCATAAATATGTTAATGGCCTCTAGCACATTGTGAATTTGTCATCAAAATCCCAATTTTCTGATACTCGAAGTGAACATTTGAAAACTGCTGACTTAAAGAAAATAAGATAGTGATGACATCTGGAAAGGGCAAAATGTTTACCATCCAAAGTTTACCTGTGATGCATTACTTCGCTCATAGTTTTCCATTTTTCAAAGAGAAGCAGTGTCAGAGTTCTAATGCAAATTCTTTTATGTATAATGTATCTGGGTGACTAACCCCAGAGGTCCTTCCTTCTAAATGAGGCCAAGCAAAGGGCAGTTCTCCTGTAAGTCCAATGCCTTGGGTTAGATTTCCCAGGTCTAACTCGTCAATAGATGCAGGAGATGATACACATTTTAGAAAGAGCACATGCTTGCAGGGAAAACACCAAACTATCAAGAAAATGACACATTAAAACCTTTGAAAAAGTGTTTGTAGAAAGCGCAGGGGGAAAATTTTTAGATTCTAATTTAAAATCTATAATGTGTCATTTAAAAAAATTCATCCTCTTCTAATGAGACTATTTTTTAATGGTAGAGGTACCCCAAAACATTTTTAAATTCATTGGCAATTGGAGAATAATGCAAACTATATGTACAAGAAATTTTAACATTTTCAGAGGGCCAGGAGGAAGCTATTGTACAAAGCTGAAATACATAGAAATTTTCTTTAATGAGTCTCAAATTTTATACTGTCACATGCCCTGAAGCTGCTGGGATGGGAACATTTTTGTAAATCTAAAATAAATAACCGGAGTAGATTTGTTACTCACAGAAAAACACAGCATGTTTACATGAATACCTCTTCTACTTGATTCCTTTGACCTGAGAACTTGAGTAAAACTCTGAAAAAGCTGCCAAGTTCCAAAACTGGGAACAGGCCCAGCCAGACATGATTTTTATTCTCTTCCTCTAGCTGGACACAGTATCTCAAGTAGACAGGGTTAAAAAATACACAATTCAATCTGTTTATTATTTTACTTTAAGTTCTGGGATACATGTGCAGAACGTGGAGGTTCATTACATAGGTATACATGTGCCATGGTGGTTTGCTGCACTTACCAACCTATCATCCAGGTTTGAAGCCCCGCTTGCCTTAGGTATTTGTCCTAATGCTCTCTCTCCCCTTGCCTCCCACCCCCCAACAGGCCCCGGTGTGTGATGTACCCCTCCCTGTGTCCATGTGTTCTCATGTTCAACTCCCACTTATGAGTGAGAACATGTGTACACAATTCAATTTTTACCAATCAATGTTTGTGCTACTTTTGAGACTGCATATATACAAAGGATAACAAATAATTTTGTTTTAGTCATTGGCTAGATGTGAAAAGATTTTCACAACAGTTTTCTTGTTTTGTTTTGTTTTGTTTTGTTTTGTTTTCCTATTTCCCTATCTCTGCCTTCTCAAATCTAGTACTCCTTGGATTTTTATCCTGTGGTGCTCTTTGCCCCAACGTATTTTGTTCTCAAATCAGCTTCTCCTTAAACCTGCAGACCAGCAGTCTTCCCCCAGCCATGGACCTGATAGATGACATCTCTGGTTATCTCCCAGGTCAAAGGACCTTTGGGTGATTTGTCAAGTTGGGAAAAGCCAGTAGGAAGCAGGAAAGAGTATCACCAGAGAAAGGGCAGAAGGAAAACCAGCAGAGGAGCCATGCTCTTGGGGCGTTTATCTCTCAGGGTAATAGCCATATCTACCCATTTACTGTGGCCGCCGTGAGACCCTCCAGGCTTTTCTTCTCTTTTTTGGAGTCTGACCCAAGTACTGGTCATTTTATCCTCTGATGTTTCATTGGCTCCTTCTTCTAGTCTTATCTCAAGGCATTTGGTTTCAGGACCACAGAAATTAGACATGGTTGCTGTCTGGCTCAGAGGGTATGTGACCATTTTTTAAAAATCTCAATTCATTACTCTTCTCAAATTCTAGACCTCTTGGCTAACTGGATATTCATCAGAAAGCTTGCTTCGTTCTTGCTAGACTGACCATAAACTGGGATTTCTCCAGTCAGAGTTTCATATAAGTAGCCATCAAACTTTAGGCAAAACCACTCTACTAGAGTCTACCCACTCTTAGCCAACTTGTGGAAAAATCTCTCAGAGACATTGATGGCCTTTCAAGAATAAAGCCCTAAAATAATCATTACTCAACTCTCCTCTCCCTTTCTTTCTGACTTTCCTTATTTTAACCTGTCTTATCAGAAGGTTGTGAGAAATTACACATTTCTTGTAACATTCCTTTGGCTTAGGGTCACAGAAAGATACAGCAGTGAGCATATAAACATTAGAACTTAAAATAACCAAAAAAAGCAATTATAATTTTAGCTAAACATCTATTTTCCTTTTTTATTTCTCCTTAGAGTGACCCACATCACAGCATTATCTTATTCGAAGTATTTTTTTCCTCATTGGTTTTATGGTTTCTACATTAGGTGAATGACCTGCCATTTTTTTGTGTGTGTTAAAAAATGAAAATTTTATCTAAAAATTTACTCTTTTAATACATTTTTGACCTTATCATGCCTTTAAGTATTTTTTTCCCACATGGCTCATTATACTTTTTGTAACAGGAAGAAATAACTTTCAGATGTAGGGAGCTCTTGGAATGAAAGTTTGAGTCTCTTAGAAATTCAAATAATCTTGACTTTTGGATGCAAACAAAACACAGGGACTTGCAAATGTTTGTGACTGCTAATAGAAATGCGCCCTTTCATCTAAAGGGTTTTACAGTATTTAAAAAAAGCTGGTGAGAATGCAAAATGGTACAGCCACTTTGGAAGAAAGTTTGGCAGTTTTTCAGAAAACTAAGCACACTCAAATCATCTGGCAATTTTGCTTTTTAATATTTACCCAAATGAATTGAAAACTTATGTCCCCACAAAAACCTGCACACAAATATTGATAGCAAGTTTATTCATTATTGCCAAAATGTGGAAGCAGCTAAGATGTCCTTCAATAGGTGAATGAATAAAAAAATCGGTGGTACCTCCAGGCAATGAAATATTATTCCTGAAACGAGAAATAAGAATCAAAACAAATGATCTATCAAGCCACAAAAAGACATGGAGGAAAAAAATACATAGTGCTAAGTGAAAGAAGGCCAGTCTAAAAGCCTACATACTATGTGATTCCACCTATAGGATATTGTGGAAAAGGCAAAATTATAGAGACATAGATAAGTAGCTGCCAAGAATTCTGGGAGAAGAAAGGCGGGATAAATAGGTGGAGCACAGGGGAGTTTCAGGGCAGTGAAGCCATTCTGATTGACACTGTAATGGTGGATGTATGTCATATGTTGTTGAAACACATAGAATTTACACTCAAAAGAGTGAACCTTAATGTAAACTACAGATTTAGTAAGAATGACATATCAACATTGGCTCATCAATGCAACAAATGTACCACACTTATGCGAAAATATTAATACTAGTGTTGCAGGGCAAACCACCAAATTGGGGCTCAGCCCAGGAGACCAAGTGCATTTTTGGCTTCATGCAGGAAAAAATTCAAGAGTGAGCAGATGGAGTGAAGTGAAAGCAAGTTTATTAGGAAAGTAAAGGAATTAAAGGGTGGCTACCCATAGGCAGAGTAGCCCTAAGAGCTGCTGGTTTGGTATTTTTATGGTTATTCTTTGATCATATGCTAAACAAGGAGTAGATTATTCACAAGTTTTCTGGGAAAGGAGTGGGGTATTTCCATTGCCGAGGATTCCTTTCCTTTTTAGACCATAGAGGGTAACTTCTGGGAGTTGCTGTGGCATTTGTAAACTGTCATGGTGCTGGTGGGAGTTTCTTTTAGCATTTTATATATTATAATTAGCATATGACAGCAGCAAGGGTAACCAGAGGTTGCTTCTGTCACCATCTTGGTTTTGGCAGGTTTTGTTTGGCTTCTGTGTAGCGTTCTGGTTTATCAGTGAGATCTTGTGACATGTGTCTTGGGAAACTGGTCTTGCAATCTCCTATCTCATCAGGAGAAACTGTTGGGGGTGACGATGGGTGGAAGGCAGGGGGTATGCGGGATCTCTTCATACTTTCTGCTCAATTTTTCTGTAAACCCTAAACTGCTCTTTAAAAAAGTCTATTAATTTAAAGCAAAAATGAACTTGCTTCTTCTTAATTATTACAGAGTAAGGAAGTCTCAAGGGCTTTCAAAGCCACTTTTGGTAACTTCATGGCCCTTTAGTAGGCTGGCGGGCAGAATGAACATGTAGCACTAGGTGCATTTCCTGTGCCAGCCTCTATGCCAGGTACTTTCCATGCATGATCTCAGTGGAGCCCTGGAAGGTGGGTATTATACGAAGCATTGAGGCTCAGAAAGATTAAATCATTTGTCCAAGGCCACAGTGCCTGGAAATGGTGAACCAAGTCTCAAATCAGGTCTTTCTGGTTGAAGGAAGAAAGGAGGCAGGCCCCCTTTCACTCTTGAGACTGGGGCAGGGTACAATGAAGTGGTAAAGAGAGGCTTTTCACTACCCTTCAAGGAGCCCACTCTAGTTGTTACAGGAAAGGGGTCCTAATCCAGACCCTAAGAGAGGGTTCTTGGATACCATGCAAAAAAGAATTCAGGGTGAGTCCATAATTGAAAGCAAGTTTATTAGGAGAGTAAAAGAATACAAGAATGCCTACTCCATAGACAGAGCAGCCTTGAGGGCTGCTGGTTGCCCATCTTTATGGTTATTTCTCGATGACATGCTAAACAAGGGGTGGATTATTCATGCCTCCCCTTTTTAGACTATGTAGGGTAACTTCCTGACGTTGCCATAGCATTTGTAAACTGTCATGGCACTGGTGCGAGCGTAGCAGTGAGGACGACCAGAGGTCACTCCCGTGGCCATCTTGGTTTTGGTGGGTTTTGGCTGGCTTCTTTATTGCAACCTGTTTTATCAGGAAGGTCTTTATGACCTGTATCCTGTGCCGACCTCCTATGACATCCTGTGACTTAGAATGCCTTAACCGTCTGGGAATACAGCCCAGTAGGTTTCAGCCTCATTTTACCCAGCCCCATTCAAGATGGAGTTGCTCTGGTTCCCATGCCTCTGACATAGTTAGAACTCTGTGAGCTCCAGAAACCATGCCAAAGCAAAGCCCATGACTACCCTGTGTCCATCCCAAGATTTTCCTGCTGTCGGGGGCACAGCAGGGAGTCTCTCCCTGAGGCGGCCAGGAGTTCCTCAGTCAGAGGGAAAATACAACAGGAGAAGAATGGCTGTGCAGACGGCCTGCATAGATGATCTGGTACTAATATATCATTCAGAAAACACTTGCAATGTCCTTTATGATCCTCTCAGGATATTTTTATTACAATTACGGGCAACAGCCCATGAAAGATACGCCACGGTTCTCAATTTACCCAAGCAACTACCATACTCTTTTCTTTACTTCTGCTCTTACATTTAAAAAAAAAAGTTTCAGGGCTTACATATTACCTTTGCTAATTTTGAAAGAGAAGGAAAACCTGCAGAATCAAAAGCTCAAATAGCTCACTTTAAAAGCACTTGAGAACAAGAGAAAGTTTTATGTGATTACATTAATAGCAGTGACAAATGCATGTAAAACACTTAACTGTGGTCTGTGATGCAAAGAAAACCCATTTAGGTGTCATTCATCTTTTTCACATTAGTACAATGAGTACTCTCTGCTTTCTCTTCTCAGACAACACTTGAATTAGAATGCTGCATTTTCCAGAAGCAAGCCTTCTAACTTTTCTTTCTAGCACACCCTTCTATAGAAATGATTTAACCTCTAAAGCCCAAAAATATAAAACAAGATCTTTTTTTTTTTCATCTAATTCCATCTTCCTAAAATTTTTTTTTGGAAACACTTTGTCTTTGAAGGGACATAATTTCTATTTACTGATTGGCTAGCTCTCATATTTTTCTCCTAAAGAAAATAAAGTATGCAAAAGACCAGGCATGGTGACTTACACTTGTAATCCCAGCACTTTGGGAGGCTGAGGTGGGAGGATCGCTTAAGCCCAGGAGTTTGAGACCAGCCTGGGCAACATAGTGAGACCCCATCTCTACAAAAAAGTTGGGAGATGTGTGATGTGTGATGGCATGTGCCTGTAGTCCCAGCTACTTGGAAGGCTAAGATGGGAAGATCATTTGAGTCCAGGAGCTCAAGGCTGCAGAGATCCGTGATTGCAGCCACACATTCCACCACATTCCAGCCTGGGCAATAGAGTGAGACCTTTTCTTAAAAAGAAAAGAAAAGAAAAGAAAAAAAAGCAAAAAGCACAATAAACTATACCTGCTGGTAAGGTATTTCCTAACTCAGAATCATGAAGAATAGAAAAGAAACAGGGAGATGATAAAGAAGAAAACAGTGATGAGGTGTGGAGAAAAAGTGGAAGGGAGGGGGAAAGAGACGGGGAGGAGACAAGTGAGGAGGAAATGGAGGCATTAGAAGTGGCTGCTCTGAACATGCATCAACCTAGCTTCCCACAGCCGTGGATGCTGCACAGCATGAAAACTTCAAGAAACTTTCACAACTGTTCCCCTCCTCTCCTCCTAACTGCCATCTTCTCCCCACTCCCCAGTCAAGTTTTACACGTGAGAGAAACTGTATGATGTGGTGGAAAAAAAAGTTTTATGGAGAGTCAGATGACCCGCCTCTAACTAACCGTGACCTTGCCAGGTCATTCGGCTCCTCCAATCTTCTATTTCCACACTAGAAATAGCAGGGAGTTGGGCCTGAAGATCCCATAGTCCCTTTCATCTCTGACTTACCTGAAAACTCAGACCTGGAGAAGTTACTTGTGCAAAGCCACATAGCTAGTTAGGGGCAGGGCTAGGCTGGATCTAGGGTCTCCTGGGGAATCATAAGGTTTTTATAGCTTCCTTTAGGTGGAGTGGATTGTGCAGAAATTTATTCCGTGGACTAATACAGGCACCCGTCTTATTGAACCACCCTGTGTTCCCCCAAACCTCTTTACAATTTTGGTTTTTGTTTTTACATTTTTCCTGGAAGGTCAAGTCAGCCTGTACAAGAAACCCAGCAGTAGAGGCTGTCTCCTGTTCACTGTGAAAGTGAAAGCTTGGAGAAGAGCAGCCTGTTTACTAATGAGAGCAGTGAGGTCGTACCTCACTAGAGAGGAAAGAGGATGTCAGGCAGGTAAGGGCTTCAGAGGGTCTGGGTGAAGAATCAGTGCCAGTCTCCTCACTCCAACCTCATCCCTTCTCCCGCAGATGCACACAGGGACTGGGTGGACAGGAGGTCCAGTGTTGTCAGTCCCTCCTGTCTGCCCTTCAAATAAACATTTCAAGGCTCCCAAAGGGATTTCTTGCAAACTTGAGTTTCTGATGTGGAAGGAAATGTTTCCAGATATTTTTTAAAAATCACAACAAGCTCCAGCATCATACAAAGGAAAAGAAAATACTTAGGTTTAAAGCTTTGAAGGAATATTAAATAAGAGACAGAATTTTGGTTATGCCAGATATGAATGCCAGCACTATAGGAAAGAACCTCATAAAACATATCAAGCCCAGGAAAAAATAAAACAAGCAAAAATAGACTATCATTTGAACTATAGCAGGCCCATAAATTCAGCTCCAAAATTACAGCCAACACACATACCATATTGTACAACTGAGCCCGCAAAAGGGGAAATTAACAATAAACCAAAAAGTTTTTTAAAATAACATGTTGAAGTAAAGAAAAAATGCAAAGCTACAAAAGTCATAATAAGTAACTTTCTGGGAAAAAAAAAACGCCAATGAAGTATCTTATTTTCCTTTTTAAAGATTCTGGATTTCAGAGAGCATCTGAGATAGTGGATGAGTCAATATGGGTGGGTAGGTTCAGCGTGTTTGACAAATAAGTTTTGCTCCTCACCAGGACATTTGGATGATACATAAATAGAAACCTTCTTTTCATCTTGAGAAGCATAAGGAAGTGCTTTCTCAGAGTGAATATTTTCCTCAAATCACTTGGAAAAGAGAAAGAACATTTATTTCCATGTTTCTCGTATCTAGCAAACTCTATTGACCTGAGGTTGAACTTGAAAACATTGTTCTAGTACAGCCTCTCTGTCAATTCCCAACTTGTCTTTCTTTACCATCTCTCCATGCTCTTAGAAACACCATCTCCTGCAGTACCTCTCACTTTATTTATTTATTTGAGGCAGAGTTTCACAATTGTTGCCCAGGCTGGAGTGCAATGGTGCGATCTCAGCTCACTGCAACCTCCGCCTCCCGGGTTCAAATGATTCTCTTGCCTCAGCCTCCCAAGTAGCTGAGATTACAGGCATGCGCCACCACCCCTGCCTAATTTTATATTTTTAGTAGAGATGTAGTTTCACCATGTTGGTCAGGCTGGTCTCGAACTCCTGACCTCAGGTGATCCACCCGCCTTAGCCTCCCAAAGTGCTGGGATTACAGGTGTGAGCCACCGTGCCCGGGCCCTCCCATAAAGAATGCTTTTTTGTTTGCTGGAAGGTTGAGTAGAATCCCCTCCAGTGCTAATGCCAGTGTGTGAAGTTGAGCACAGGCCACCAGCATCTGCCCCAGCCTCCCAGCAAACCTCCCTGTCTGCAGGGGCTTTCCTGCAGGCCGATAGGCTATGGTGCCGCATGCTGGGACAACAAACTGAAGGTCACCGTTGGCATACCCTTGTGAAATCAAGGTGTTCTTTTTACTTGCTTGCACCTCTATCTCACACCTGCCAGGACCTGGGGAGAACAGAGAATCTTTCCTGCAACTTGCGCGAGAACCAGGCCCCACTCCAGCATTCACTGTGCCAGGCTGCTGTGTTTCTGGAATGCTGAGCTACATTCACATCCATTTCCATCCTCTCTAGAAAGCAGCAGCAGGGCAGCTCCCAGGCTGGGCTGCTATGCTGCCGCCTCCTGTTGCCAAGGCCCGAAGTTTGTGGCGTAAGAGGTGGGTTATGTTTTCGGAAGGTGATACTCTGCTCCCCTTTTGCTGCCTGCTTCTTACCTGTAGTGTTCGAAATTTAAAATTCAAATTTGCCGTTCACATCCGGTGTTATTAGACTTGTTTATTTCAATAGAGAGTGGGAGAGATGACTATACATAGGCCCTACAGAGTGAAAGGAATCGTCTGAAGGAAACAGATCAGGTGCTTGTGTTTTTGGTTTATTCGTTCCTCGGCTGCAGTTCTCTTTGAGTTTCTCTTATTTAGTCTCTGACCCACAGTCAGAGCTAGAATACAGATCGCTATCCTTAGAAGGAAACTGAATAATTAAAGGTCATCCAATATACCGTCATTCTTTTATATAACCTCCAAGGGAAAGCCACTTAGGGCTAACAATGCCGTATGGTTCAGTTTTGTAAAAGTAGAATTATCATCGTAATCCTAGAATGTCATGCTTTCTACTCGGCATAGGCCTGATGCTCATTCTTAAATAGTTGCCGTTAAGTTCATTTGCCAGGGTATGTACTAGGGTGAACATTCTAAGGCATTCTATTCCTTCAAAGAGCTGATGTTTAAAAATCCCAACTGTTTGTACTTATCTTAATTGCCAAATATTTAATTGCCAAATATGTATTTAATTGTTATATATGTATTTCCCCTTATAAAACATTCTGCCTTCAAAAAACTCAGATTTCTCTCTGTGTTTTCTTTTAGATCAAATCTCAAATATAAGAAGCAATAGCATTTCATTGTTACTCATTTATCAAATGTAATTCCATGAATATGGTATGGAACATAGGAATTCACAGGATTCTGTGTGGCAGTCCTTTCTTGCCTGCCTGTGGAAATACTGGGAAAAGGCAGAGATATGCAAATGCATATTTCTCCTATTGGGGAATGTCTGGTTGAATCGAGTGGTAGCATTTCTCCACTTTTGGGCAGGGAGCATGGGCTGAACAAGGGGAAAGCTGGGAATTTAAGCTGCCCTAACAAATATAGATACATTCACTCTGGCTTGGGCTATCCGAAGTAGAAATGCTTGATTTTAGATTATCTAATGCTTTGTGTCTAAAGAGTTTCCCAACATTTTTCACATGATGTCACTCAGAAAATAAAAATATTTATACCACAAACTGGGGTCAACTTAATAGCATTTGGAAGATAGTTGAGGATCTTCTGTGCTGCAAGTGGACTTGCTGAAGAGCTTGGCCCATCTCTGGTCTAACCTGGCTGTCCAAGGATGGGAAACATCCTTATCTTGCGGTGCACCAGTTGGAATCCAAACCCCAGTTTAGTAGCCCTGGAAAGTGGGATTGCAAAGCAGACAGGATTTGTCTTTTCTCCCCCATCTTGATCAATTTCATTCAATGCATAAGTATTTAATAAAACTCTAAAGCATGCTGTCACTGGGCTCTTAATTGTCCTACATGAAATGATCAGAGCTCTTCAAGATATGAAACACAAATCTGCCAGTTTCATATCTGAGATTGTTATTATTGTTTTAAAAAACCTCAAAGAAAAAATGGATGATTCCTTATCTTTACCTTCAATTACTTTACCTGTATTCTGGCTATCTGCATATCTTGTCCAATCTTGCCACCATCTAGAAATCACTCCTTTCTTGGCCCCAGCTGAAACTTTTATTCTCTATCAATTAAAAATAGTTCAGGTTAGGAGGTGTTTAACTCCATCGATTTAAAAAAGTTTGTGATCATAAGTCAATCTTTAATTATTTGAACACACAGTAACATAGCAGGCATTTTTGATTTCCTCACAAAATCCCTGGGACTTTCTCTCCTTAATTATGTCATTTTTCAAGGAGCTGATACAGGGAAGCCATTTTTTTCTATGCCAAAGAATCCCATGAGCTATCCTCCTCTTCCTTCTTGGAATCCTTCCCTTTCTTCCCAAGTTCAGAGAGAAAAGAGCCACCAATTTGGAAGAGTGCATACTAGCAAAGGTAGCTGAATTTTGGAAACTTAAATCTGAATTCGATGAGAAGTGCTTCTTTTATCTTGTACTCAATTGTCTTGAGAGATTTACTTTTGGTCTGTAAACATCAAGCTCAGGCATGGTGGCTCACGCCTGTAATCCCAGAACTTTGGGAAGCTGGGGCAGGAGGAAGGCCTGAAGCCAGGAGTTCAAGACCAGCCTGGGCAACATAGTGAGATCCCGTCTCTACAATAATAAAAAATAAAAAAAAAAGAAATAAAAACATTAAATTGCCTGAAACTTCAGCTCCATGTTCCAGAAGAGAAACAATGATCATAATATTCATGAAGACAAAACCAGTTTACCTCCTGCTTCAGCTTGATTGATCTCAGCTTGATGCTTGATTGCCCACTGATATCATAGTAGCCTAGAAGCAGTGTGGTGAGGGGAGCTGTACTACCTGACAGAAAAACCAGACTTAGAATCTGGAAGAAGAGTTTGAATCCCGATTTGGCCGCTTCCTAGATGGGTGATTTTGTTTTGATTACTGAAGCTCTGACTTATCTCTGCTTCTTCATTTGTAAAATAGGCACTTTTTTGGTGTGAATGTTTATAGCAACTTCATTCTTAAAACCAGCAACAACCCAAATGTCCTTCCATTGATAAAAAGAGAAGCTTGAGTACATCCATACAAAGGACTACTACTCAGCAACAAACATGAAAGAACTACTGATATAATAACATAGGTGGATCTCAGTTGCATTATATGAAAGAAGCCAGACTCAAAACCTACATATTCTGCTGATTCCACTCAAACGATATCCTGGGATAAGCAAAAGCGTAGGGTATCGAGAACATACTAGTGAGTCCCATGGATTGGAAGCATGGGGAGGGTTTGATACCAAAGGGACAATATGATGGAATGTTTTGGGGTGATGGAATATTTATACATTCTGATTGTGATGGTTACACAACTGTGTGCAATTATAAAAGACCATAAAGCTACATGACAAAAGAAGTGAATTTTACTGTACGAAAATTTAAAAATATATTTGAAAGCAATAAATCAATTGGAGTTTAAAATCATCTGTGTGTTGCTTCTTTTAAGGAAACTTTGTGTCAATTAGAATGTACAGTCATCCCTTGGTATCCATGGGGAGTTGGTTTCAGGACCCTCCATGAATACTAAAATCCACAAATGCTCAAGTTTCTTAAATAGTATTTGGTATATATGATAGTATATATACTAAAATACTATACTATTTAGTGTACTATATATATTTTGTGTGTATATATATATATATATATATATATATAATGTTATAGTATTTGCACATAACCTAAACATATCACCCTATATATTTTACATCATCTCTAGATTACTTGTAACACCTAATATAATGCTTACACATCATTTCATTCATGTCACTTCACACAGTACTTGGCATGTGACAAATTCAAGTTTTGCTTCTTGGAACTTTGTGGGACTTTTTAAAAATCCCACTGCTTGATATTTACTCAAAGGAATGGAAATTGGTATGTTGAGATAGTTGCACTCCCATGTTTATTGCAGTACTATTCACAATAGAATAGTTTATATGGAATCAATTTACATGTCCTACAGCAGGTGAATGGATAAATAAAATGTGTCACATATATACAATGGAATACTATTCAGCCATAAAAAGAAAAAAATGTCATTTGAGGCAATGTAGGTGAGCTTGGAGGACACACGTTAAGTGGAATACGTGAGGCACAGAAAGATAAGTACCACATGGTCTCACTTATATGTGGGAGCTAAAAAATTTGAGCTCATAGAAGGAGAGAGTAAAATTAAGGTTATTAGAAGCTGGGAAGAATAGGGGCATGGAGAGAATGGGGAAAAGTTGGTTAGCTGATACAAAATTACAGCTAGATAGGAGGAATAAGCCTTAGTGTTCTATAGCACTATAGGGTGACTATAGTTAATAATATATTGAATATTTTCAAATAGCTAGAAGAGACAATTTCAAATGTTTTTAACACAAAGAAATGATAAACTTATGAGGCAATAGATATGCTAATTACTCTGATTTGATCATCACACATTGTATATGTGTTTTGAAATATTATTCTGTGCCTCTAAATTAAATGGGCTAAATTAATCCTAGCTCAAAGAGGTTGACATGCAAATGAAATGAGATATGAAAGTGTCTGAGCACACAGAATTCCATCTATAAGTGGTAGTCTGAAATTAAATGGATGATGCTATACTGTAGTTTATCTAAGGTATCTCTTAAGCCACCACTCTGCTATAGGGTTTTGGATTTTAATTAAGTGAATCAAGGGTAACTATTACTTTCCACCTCAGCCTTAGGGGTAGAAAAAGGATAAAGTAGGATTCACTTCTACATTTAGTCTTGCCCCAAATTTGTAATATCAAGCCAAGCTTCACTGGGGAGCCAGGAACTCAACCCCTACAGGGCTAATTCCACCACGCTGGAGACCTGCTGTCTCAGAAGCAAAGCCTGAGTCAAGATGGATCTTGAGGATGTCTTTGTTCCTCTGTATCAGGACCCAATCTCCATACCTGCTGCACATTAGAATTTCATATGAAACTTGAAAAATACTGATAGCAAGGCTGTAGCCCCAGAGATTTTGATTTAATGGTCTAGGTAAGGGCCTTGACAATAGCAATTTTTTTAACTGCCTCCAGTGATCTCAGTGTACAGCCAGAGCTGAAAACTACTGCTCTAGACATTGCAGATCTAGGTGACCTGGAGATGTTACAGGTCAAGGTTGTAGTTGGAGGCATCTGATGGCCTGATACTGAAGAACCCTCCCTTTCTCAGATGCTTCAAGCATTGAGTCAAGAGCAAGAGAAAAGGGATTGGAATGATAATCTCACTTCCAAAAAGAAGAAAATAAGCAAAGTAAGCTTCACCCAGAGCAAATCCTGGGCAATGCTAAAGAGCCCTTTTCTTGCCTGCCTGTGGGTTCCAATTTTCCGAGTAGCACTTGAATAACAGAACACTGCAGATTTTTTACAACGTAATTCCAGAAGCCTCATTTAAGCTGATATCATTATGGACTTTTAAATCTCCTGCCTGCATTTAGTTCCTTGGTTTCTAAATTAAGAAGTACTTAGAATGTAATGAGTTACTTAGATTGCTTGTTCTCTAATGGTGGTTACGGAGCTGTGCTCTTAAACCACTGCACGCAGAGGATATTTTGATCAAGTCACAGCCAATTGTCTTAAAAAGCCAGAGTCAGAAAGAGCAATGTGAAAGCATTCAAATGATGGGAATAGAACAAAGATTTCTTAATTTCCAGTCCTCTTTATCAATTGAATCACATAATAAAACTCAGACAGGGCTACTTCTCTCTTTGAAATAGTGATATGTACATGTTTTTCCCCTTTCTCTTACAGATGAAGATCTCTGACCAGTTGTAAAGACCATATTCCTTTTCTGCCTTACCCAATTGCTTAACAAAATCCAATTTCTTTTTTTTTTTTTTTTTTTTGAGATGGAGTCCCGCTCTGTCACCAGGCTGGAGTGCAGTGGCGCAATCTCAGCTCACTGCAAACTCCGACTCCCTGATTAAAGCGATTCTCCTGCCTCAGCCTCCTGAGTAGCTGGGATTACAGGCACGCTCCACCATGCCCAGCTTGTTTTTGTATTTTTAGTAGAGTCGGGGTTTCACCATGTTGGCCAGGATGGTCTCGATCTCCTGACCTCATGATCCCCCTGCCTTGGCCTCCCAAAGTGCTGGGATTACAGGCATGAGCCACTGCGCCCAGCCAAATCCAATTTCTACTTTCTTGTCTGTTCGCACCTCCAAATAAACTGAGGATCCTTCTGCTAGATGTCATGAGAATGGTCCCCACATTCCTTTCTAATGAGCAGAGCCTCAAACTGAGTAAATGGTAATGTTAAGCATCTTAACAGAGCAGAAGCAATATCTACCCCGTCATTGTTAAATAATTAGTAGCTACATTAAGAATTATATAAAAACTAAAATTTTATGGAAAAATAATTATTTCTGACTTAGACATCTGCGCAAGCAGGGGATTCATTTAACCACCTGATCCCAAATCAAAGTCAAAGGACTTCACTGTCCTCATACTACTTCCCCACCAAAAGATGTTAATATTTATCATCAGGGAGAAAATTGATAACTCATTGATATGGTTTGGCTCTGTGTTCCCACCCAAATCTCATCTGAAATTGTAATCCCCACATGTCAAGGCAGGGAGGTGATTGGATCATGGGGGAAGTTTCCCCCATGCTGTTCTTATGACAATGAGTGGGTTCTCACAAAGTCTGATGGTTTCATAAGTGACGGTTCCTCCTTCACACACTCTCTTTCCTGCCACCTTGCGAAGAAGGTGCCTGCTTCCCCTTCCGCCATGACTGTAAGTCTCCTGAGGCCTCCCCAGCCATGCGGAACTGTGAGTCAATTAAACCTCTTTCCTTTATAAATTACCCAGTCTTGGGTATTTCTTTATAGCAGTGTGAAAACAGACTAATACACCCATGGTGGTCCGATATAAGCAGGATGAATTTGATTACCTTCAATTAATTTGGACAGGAAAGCATAAGGATAGTCGTGAAAATAACCTCCTACTAAATCAGAATCTGTTTCGAATCCTACTGACAGGAGGGCTAAAGAAAAAATAAATTTTTAGCATCTAGCTTGCAGATGAAGCCTGTCGTAGGAGCCGCAGGTGATAGTCCCATAGAGGAGACTGCTTCAGAAAGTGAGCTCCCAAGATTAACGACTGGTTCACTTTGCATAGTGGATTCCTTCATTCCACGAATATTTATTGAGTGCTAGGCACTTCTTAGACACAGAACAATGAGTTTATTGGAGGTGTAATATCTCGTTAGGCAAGTATGGTGACTCTGGTAAGCGGATCAGCCAGATCTGCTTGGCCTTAGTGTATCCTGAATTTAAAATGACCTCTGCATCCTTGGTCCCATGGCAATCTTAAAATTTATTTGAAAATTTATTGGAAAAATTATCCATTTATTACAAGTCTTTTAATTTTCTAACTGTAGTTACCAGTTACTTCAGGAATATTGTTTCTTCCTTTGATATTAACTCTCTTCTTAATTATATTTGCTACAGGCTTGTCAATATGTGTAGTGCCTATCAGTATAAAAACTAGCTGTTTATACAGATTATTGTTATGTATCGTAAAGCATCTATTATTCAGTGAAAAAGCAAGGTGTACAACAATATGTATATTGTATTATTATTTGGGTAAACAGTATATTTATGGGAATGTGGGTGAATTGAGGGACTAAAGAAGGAAGTTCACTTTTATTCCCACTTTCTTTGCCATTAACATTCTTTGTCACGATTAACTTTAGTAATAATTTTAAAATACCTGTTTTTTAATTAATTAGAGTGACTCAAGACCAATATCCAGACAGGACTCAGCACACTGAGGGCCTGTTTTTACTTTTATTTACTTATTTATTTATTTTATTTTATTATTATTTTTTTGAGACAGTCTCACTCTGTCGCCCAGGTTGGAGTGCAGTGGTGTGATCTTGGCTCACTGCAACCTCCGCCTCAGGGGTTCAAGCGATTCTCCTGCCTCAGCCTCCTGAGTAGCTGGGATTACAGGCATGCGTCACCACATCCGGCTAATTTTTGTATTTTTTAGTAGAGACGGGGTTTCACCATATTGGCCAGGCTGGTCTCAAACTCCTGACTTCGCGATCTACCTGCCTTGGCCTCCCACAGTGCTGGGATTATAGGGGTGAGCCACCACGCCTGGCCTTATTTTATTTATTTATTATTATTATTTTTTTCTGAGATGGACTCTTGCTCTGTCACCCAGGCTGGAGTGCAGTGGTGCGATCTCGTCTCACAACAACCTCCGCCTCCTGGGTTCAAGTGATTCCCCGGCCTCAGCCTCCCAAGTAGCTGGGACTACAGGCATGCGCCACCACTCCCGGCTAATTTTTTGTATTTTAGTAAAGACGAGGCTTCACCATGTTGGAGGGCCTGTTTTTAAAGCGCAGCGGTCTCAACCCTGCAGGCTTAGGCTTCAGTTCTACTGAACTTGATTGTGCTTTTGATAACTGGCAGTGTGTCATCAGGGTGGATTGCCAGAACACTTAGGGGAAGTCACTTGATCAACTTGTCCTTGGCACAATGGCCATTCTGAAAATAGACGTACTGAAGTGAAATGAGTTATACTAAAAACTTTTTCCAAACGTTCAGTTAACTGGAGTGTTGTATGTTGTGTTTGAAAAACATTTTTTTAAATGTGGAATTGTTTTACCTTAAAGTGATAACTCCTGCCTGAATGAAAGTATTTAGTGTTGAGACATGTATATGATCAGTGAAAAAGCAAGGAGTGCCCTTCTGGACTGAAATCCCTTTTCCCCTTCCATTTGGGGATTTCTATGTGCTCAGGCATAGGCCAAAGCAAGATAGATCCCTGTGTCTGGAAGAGAAAAGATGACCAGGGAACATGGAGACAAATTTGCTCACAAAAATATACCCCCCATGCAAAACTAGAAAAAACATTTTGTGGCAAATGTGACACAGATAGCATTATCCTTGTTCATTATACGATAAGCTTTTGCAGACTCACTCAGCACACACAAAGATAAATAGGCAAGGTCTATAAACCAACAATTCTCAAATGAGGAAATATGGTTCATTCATTCACTAATTTAATGCAATTTTTATTAAGTCCTTGATACAGGAGTATAGCACATTTGTCACGAGTTCCCTAACTGAGACTAATCAATGTTGGAAACCAGGAGGAGAGAGAGAAACCTCACCTACTACACATTAGGAGCCTCCACCATGACTCCTAGTCTTGTGACTCCAAAGAGCATTATTTGATAGAAGACAAATGGATTTGCTAGGAGCACTGGCAATACTTTCCCACCACACAGGAATAGCATGTGTTATGCTTGCTTGGTGTGTAGCCTTCAGACACCGCAAGACTCACTGTAACTACCAACAACATGCAACACCAAGTTATGCCTGGTACTATAGTTGAACCTCTGGGCCTCACTTCTGGTGTGCACCATTTCCATGAGCCTCACATTCCTGTTTATCCCCTTCTTACCTTCTGCCAGCTGGTTACTATTCAGTAATTTAGGACACAGAGTTTTATAATTTAGGACATAATTCAGGACTGGACCTGGCAAGTTATTGGATAGGGGCTAGGGGTGGGAAAAGGGGAATAGTGAATGACTCCTAGGTTTTCGGTGTGAGCACCTGGGGGATTGTAGTGCCCGTAACAAAAACAGGAAAACTAGAGGAGAAACAGTATGAGAAGGAGGGTTCAGTTCTGAACATGTTGAGTTTGAGTTATCTGTGAGATACCAAAGAAGGGATGTCCAGAAGGGTTTGGTTTCTACTCATCTGGTGTTTTTAGATGCAATCGACATAAAGATGGGAATCAAGCCATTCATGGGTGTGGATGAGACTGTTTAAGACTTGTTTGTAGTATGAGATGATTTAGTGGGCCCAGGCGAGAGTCCCGCGTAACCCCAATTTTTTAGGAATGGGTCAAAGAGGAAGAGCTAATAAAATGGCTACAAAGGCAGAAGGAAAACTGGGACAGTGCCTTTGTATGAAGCTGATCCCTTTCCCTGGAGTAACCTCCCTCTCTCCTTTGCACGGTGAAATACAGCTAATCCTTCAGCATATCTCAAATGTCTCTTTGGTGCAGCAAACATTTTTGATTCACTCTCTACTTCCCCAAGAGCCATAAAAACCCCATTGCTCTCTTTTCTCTGCTTCTATAGGACTTCAAAAAAGGCAAAAATGAAACTGTGAATGTGGCTGCTGAAGACATCTCCCACCCCCAGCCCTATAATTTTCTGAGCTGATATATCGCAAGGACATGGCAGGTGATTCTAATTTATTTCTGTTTCCTAGCACCAAGAAGCACATACAAAACGGTCAGTAAGTGTTGAGTTAGTATTGCTTGCCTGACTTTGAAAACTTTGTTCCTCACTCTGACAAAGATTTAGGCCTAGTAGGACACATTATTCAGAAAAGGCTTTAAAATGGAATCATTTCTTGTACAACATTGCAAGTTAATTAGTTTATTATTCATGCCACACCTACTTCCAAAAAGAATTTGAGATAGCTTGCAATGAGTCACAAGAATAATTACATCTTTAAAAACATAATGAAAGCATCATGCCATGGAAAAAGGTGATAACATTATCTGATAAGGGAAGCCAAAGAAAGTTGCTGCAATTGAGATTACAATATAGTCTTATACTTCTTAGCAGAGAAGTTGATATGTTCTTTTTGAATAGCTCATGTACTTTTGAGGGACTTTGTGTAGGTGGAGAACAATGCATAGGCATATTACCTAGACTAGCTAAAATTCTGCTGGGCTTAATTACAATCCTCAAACTCTTTATTTGCCATGTTGTGTATAATTTACTTAAAAGTGGCCTGTGAATTAAAACAACAAAAAAACAATTCTCTCACTTGCAAGACAAACTAAACAGATCTTCTTCTCTGCAGAATGAGGATTCTTTTTTAAGGTAAAAATATTTCAAGCTATCTTATAATTGTACTTTTAGAATACATTGCTTGAGAACATATGACCAAAAAAAACCTACCACAAATTTAGTAACCCTTAAATGTTTTCTATTTATTAAAACGTAAAACTAACTGAATATGTTTTTAGGAGATGGCACAGGTATTTGCATAAGATTACTTGTTTAGCACAGAGACATTGCTTGGTAAGCGCATGGATTTGAAATGTTTTTTGTATTGGCTCCAAGAATCTTCTGACCAGAGAATGAGAGCACCCGGTCTAGGGTAGAGCTTTTCAAAGTTATTATTGTAATTAGTTGGTTTGTTTAGTTGTAATTGGCTGTGTACCTTTTTGTTCAAAGAACTCATGCTCTGACGATCGACAAATCACAGCTCTGATAAGGTTGGAACTGGAGTCTACATGAATGGGTGTCCAGAAAAGACCTTATTTAAAAACTTATTATCATCCAACCAAAATTATACTAAAGAGAAAATATCATTAAAAATCATCAGTTTTCCTGCACGATGATGAGTAGCTTGGCAATTAATGTTAGCTTCAGCATACTCATTTGAAGATCCATGACTTTAAAATATGCACTGTCTTTATTTTTATGTCTCCAAAATTGCAAATTTCCTCTAAGAAGTTTCCCAAAGTCCTAGAAGATTCTTTAGATTATAGCTTAGTCAAATATGCAGACTTTGAGGGGAAAATGATTGTCTGTAATTGCTTTATCAAATCAGATGGAGTTCAGATTTTTCAAACTCCTACCAAAAGGAAGATAACTTTGAGGTGAATTTGTTCTTTAAGTGTTTGAATTCCACCTGTTACTACTGCATCACAAAGCATACACTGTAATTTTACTCTACGATAGAATTTCCATCTTCTTAATGTTTCTGGAATTCAAAAAGATAATTTTGATTAATAATTTATTTAAATAACCTTCATTTCACAATATTCATAAAATGAATATAAAAATATCTCTCTTTTCTTCATTTTTATTTTTAGTTCTGGGGTACATGTGCAGGATGTGCAGGTTTGTTACATAGGTAGAGAGGTGTGCCATGGTGGTTTGCTGCACCTACCAACCCATCACCTACATATTAAGCCCAGCATGCATTAGCTATTTTTCTTAATACTCTCCTTCCCACAACCCCACTGCCCTGACAGGCCCCATTGTGTGTTGTTCTCCTCCCTGTGTCTATGTGTTCTCCTTGCTCAGCTCCTGCTTATATGTGAGAAGATGCAGTGTTTGGTTTTCTGTTAGTTTGCTGAGGATAATGGCTTCCAGCGTCATCCATGTCCCTTCAAAGGATGTGATCTCATTCCTTTTTATGGCTGCATAGTACTCCATGGTGTATATGTACCACATTTTCTTTATCCAGTCTATCATCGATGGGCATTTGGGTTGATTCCATGTCTTTGCTATTGTGAATAATGCTGCAATGAACATACGCGTGCATGTGTCTTTGTAATAGAATGATTTGAATTCCTTTGGGTATATATCCCAGTGAATTCTGTCTCATTATAGTGATAAATAATATTCACCTGTAGACTGATAAACTGGGAAAAAAGCCATCTTTATCCATTTCAATAGGAGATGTGTTTTCAACAAAATTTATGCTTCATATTAAAAAAAGAATATCTCTCAGTGTGTCTTAAACATATACATATACATACCCCCATATCACAGTTAAAATCACCTACGTGAAAGAACGAGATTACCCTCCCTTCACAAGCCAGCATTTCTGAATCAGCACTCGGTATCATTGTGGGATATCTCCCATCTCATGGATTATCTGTTCTGTGATTTGACATAGATCCTGGGACCTGGGAATTTGCTACTGACTCAAACTCCTTGAGGGCAAAGACAGCTTCCTGCTAATCCTGTTATGTCTGGCAGCATATAGCACAGTCCAAGTTTGCAGAATTTAATTCAATTAAATGTAGATCCCTACGTACGTATGAAAGAGGGTGGGTGACTTCTTGTTGTCCTCTCCACCCTTCTAAGCCTATCCCGCTCATCTCCCCTCCACCCACCCAACTCTACTCTCAGTCACCATGAACTCAGATTAGTTCCCAGCATGCTTCTCCCTGAACTTGCCTTTAGCATTTTACAAATGCTGTTCCCTTTGATTGGAATGTCCTTCCTCACCTTTCACCTAGCTAGGTCATACTCATTTTTCAGGTCTATGCTTTTTTGCCTTTTCTTTGGGGATGCTTCATAACTCCCTACATTTGGATTAAATATCCTTCAAAATGTGCTCCCATAGCAATGGTGGCATAGCTTTCATCAAACACTGTTGCAACTGAATTATCCCCACTAAATTGTAAATTTGAGGTGGCAGGCAGTGTGTTGTTTTATTCACCTGTATATCCTCAGGATCTTGGTACACTGAGTGAGACTTAGTAAATGCTTAATAAATACTTGAATAGGTAAAGAAATGAATAAATACATGCAATAGCCAGGAACCCTATCTCAGGAATCCTTTCTCCCAGCAACTCCTCAGCAATTATGACTTCATTGACACAGAGGCACTGTTTCAGGTAAAGCCCTGTTACTATGTTTATAAGACAAACAGCTGAAGTTGCTCATGAAGCTGGAAGTGCCACAGAATCAAATTTTGCATCTGTGTTCACATTACACTAGCCTGTGTAGACAAGGATGGCACTTAAGCTTCTTGCCTTCAGCTGAAGTAAGCCAACCTGGCTTTTCTCCTTTAGTTTTTACTTTGTCAACTGCTATCACTTTGGATAAGGGAATGTGATCTCTTTATTTTCATTCATCCAGCAAGTATTGATTAAGGGTCTACTGTAAAAAAAAAAAAATCTGTGGACTTGCCACTTAGCCACTCAGCCACTCAAGAACCAGGATTCTGCTGAAGCATGCCAACATCTCAGCAATTATGAACCAACAAATGCCAGGCAGAGAATGGGTAAAGGGAAAACCCTTACAAACCATTCTGAGAGTGCTCTTCAAGTTATAAATATGTATTGGCAAAACCCTTTGATCGAATCTCAACATGTGCCTTTCCTCATAGTAAGAAATCATCTTCGCCCTCTCTTAAAAAACAGATGAAGGCACACTTAGAGCCATCTGGAAGAAGATGCTGGTTGATTAGGGTTCAATCTCTCTCCTTAGAGAATAGCTTACACAAAATTACACTGAATAGAGTTTCAGAATCAAGCTGCTTTTCCCTTTTCCTTTTACAACATGTACTTTACCAAATGCATAGTGATCTCTCTTAAGACATTTTTCTCTTTTATTTCCTAGTCCCTTTCTGACAGAAATTCTTTTCTTTGCAGAGAAATAAGGCTTTTCTTTCATTGCCTCTATTCCCTTGATGACATGAAATATTCAATCACAACCAATTTACAGATAATGTGCTAGTTTCTTGTGTGTGTTTGTCAGTTTCATCACCTGTGCCAGATTGTCAAATGCATGCCCTAGATAACGTCGCTACCTTAGTCAACAAGTCTGATCGTGCTTCTAAATGGAAATGTTCTGGAAATTTTCCTCTCGGCTCCTTTTTTTTTATTCCCCTGCCTGTAACCTACTGGATGACTCTGAAGTGGATTTTCTTTGCCTGGCCAGTGCCTCCTGCTCTGTAGTCACTTTAGTTAGAGAGTTAACTCTGTTGTTGGCTATTCATTCAATACGTTTGTGAACAAGTTGTCAAATTAACTTCCCAAGTCACTATAGGTCATCAGCCAGGAAATGCAGAAGGGATGAAACAAATCTTCCATCTGCAGGGCAGAAAAGAATGTGGAGGGTTTCAACTCAGTGGCTTGCTTCTGATCTTCACAGTGGCAGGCCAATGAGCCAAAGCTCTTAAGATGGCCCCTGCTTTCCCCTATAAAGCCAAGAAAAAGTCCAAATCATATGAAATGCTGCAAAGAGTCTAGCCATCCAGTTTTGCAGTGCTGTTTGGGTAAAACAGCTTAATAAAATTTTACTTGGTTGGAATAATTTTGGTTTTGGTGAGAGGAGAGATTGGCAAAGAGAAAGAATTTAATCCTGGTTTTGTTGATCTCATCAATATTAGTGACCTAAATTACCTTGCTAATAATAAAGTGAAAGATAAGAGGCAAGGTAGCTGCAGATGAAAGATTTCTAATCTCCAGATCTCTACCCATACATGTACACAGCCAGACTCTCATTTTTTCTCTTAGTCAACAGCAGGAGCTATGTGGGTGTGCTTGTTGCCTCTCCCCTGATAGATTGACAACCACAACAAAACAGTTGGTATGTCCCTAGATTGTGGCATGAAGGTGGCTTGTAATTTCTATGATCAACTAATGATCAGTCAATGAGAAACAGATGCAGCTGTGACCAGAGTTAGAGGCAAAAGTTCTGGGTTCTGGGATCTCCATGAAGGGCTGACTTCATAAGCATGCAACCATGGGCAGTTGCACAGGGCATGCGATTAAAAGGCCCCTGTGCTTGGTTTGATCCTCTGCTATTGCCCTCTTGATATTTTTAATAATTTTTGAACAAGGGGCCTCACATTTTCATTTTGTGCTGGGTCTAGAAAATAATGTATTCAGTCCTGTCTCCAAGATGTATTGTTGAGCAGTAAAAAACAGTGCAGAAAAATGTGCATAGGATGTGTAAAAAAATAGAGTTCTATGCTTAAGTTACCACCCCCCCCCGCACACACACACTCCACACACACACCTATGGATGCATGGAAAGGCAATTTTGTGTAGTAGTTAAGAATAGACTCTGGGCTGGGCACCATGGCTCATGCCATCCCAACACTTTGGGAGGTCGAGGTGGGAGGATCGCTTGAGCCCAGAAGTTCAGGACTAGCTTGGGCAATATAGCAAGACCCCATCTATTAAAAAATTAAAAATTAGCTGGGCATGGTGGTGTGTGCCTGTAGTCCTAGGTGCTCGGGGATTGCTTGAACTCAGGAGCTTCAGGCTGCAGTGAGCTGTGATTGAGCAACTTGTACTCCAGTCTGGGCAACAGAGTAAGACCCTATGTCTAAAAAAAAAATGATAGAGTCTGCAGCTGGATTGCCTGGGTTTGAAACTTACCTTAGGAAAATTACTATACCTTTTGATGCCTCGGTGTCCTCATCTGAAAAATGGGATGAAAATAATACCTATAAAAAACTTAAACAATAAAAAAAAAGTACCTCTTTCATAGGGTTGCTGTGAATTACCTACCATGTTATTATTAATTTTGGTTTTGTTAGTGTTATTTAATTAGATTATCTCTGGAAGGCTATATGACAAACTAGTAAAAGTGGTTCTCTGGAGAAAGGGACTAGGCTAGAGAACAGGAGTATAATAAACAAAAGTTGATTTTTATAAGATGCAAATTCACACGATTTTAAGGACCCCCTTTTAAAAAATACAAATTATATATAAAAATAAGGCAAACATTTATTTAGAAAGAAAACATTTTAGTGCTGACAAATACTACCAAATAGCCCAGAAAAAATGAAATATTATTATTTATTAATGCACTAACTAACCTCTAAAACTCCTTTCCCTCACATTTTTGTGGCATAATCTTTGATTGCCCATCATGTGACATTAATTTTATAATATCCTTTTCTATTGTGAGAATAGAAAGTTAATGCAGTTTTTTGGCCAAGTGCAGTGGCTCACGCCTGTAATCCCAGCATTTTGGGGGGCCGAGGCTGGCAGATCACTTAGTCAGGAGTTCGAGACCAGCCTGGCCAACATGGTGAAACTGTGTCTCTACTAAAAATACAAGAATTAGCTGGGTATGGCGGTGGGCACCTGTAATCCCCAGCTACTCAAGAGGCAGAGACAGGAGAATTGCTTGGACCTGGGAGGCAGAGGTTGCAGTGAGCCGAGATTGTGCCATTGCACTCCAGCCTCAGCAACAGAGTGAGACTCCACCTTAAAAATAAAAGAGAGAAAGAAAGAAAGACAACTGAGTTTTTCTCTGTCCATATACAGAGCGCTGTATATTCGGGTATTCAGTATTCAGTATTATTGAGGTATAATCAACATATTATAAAATTATCAAAGGGCATAGTTTGGTGATTGTCAGTAAGTTTACGTAGTTGTGCAACAAGCTTCAAAGCATTTCTATCAACCCAGAAAATTTGCTCACGACCATTGGCACCTGTTTTGTTAAATTTATTCTTAAGTGTCTTACTATTTTTTATGTTATTTGGAATGAAATCATTTTCTTAAGTTATTTTCTATTGTTTGCTAATATTTAGACATACGACTGATTTTTTGTTTATCAATCTTGTATTCTGTAACCTCGCTGAACTTGCTTATTAGTTCTATTAGCTTTTTGCTCTGTTTTTGTGTATTTCTTATGATTTTCTACATTTGGGATCATGTTGCCTGCTAATAAAGACAGCTTTACTTTCTCCTTTCCAATTTGCATGCCTTTAATTTTTTATTTCTGCCTTGTTACCTCGACTAGAGGCTCCTATACAGTGTTACGTAGAAGTTGTGCGAGTGGACATCCTTACTTGTTCTTTATCTTAAGAGGAAAGCAGTCAGTATTTCAGCATTGGATATCATGTTAGCGCTGGTATTTGTTTGTTTGTTTGTTTATAAAATATTCAGAACAGGTGGAGGAAGTTCCCTTCTATTCCTTGTTTGTTCAGCGTTTGTATTGTGAATGGGTATTTGTCTTGTCAAATGCTTTGGCTGAATCTACTGAGACGATCATGTAGATTTTTCCTTTGTTCTACTAACATGATGTATTACATGGATTCATTTTCAGGTGGTATACCAACTTTGTCTTCTTTGGTAAAGCTGGATTTCCGCTAGCTGAATTTTAAGCTGGTAGAATTACTGCCATGGTTTATGGCATTTTTATATGTATTACTTTTTTATATGTTGCTGGATTTGGTTTGCTAATATTTTGTTAAAGATTTTTCTATCTATATTCACGAGGAACACCATTCTGTAGTTTTTGTTTCATGATGTCTTTGGATAACACTAACCTCATAGAATGAGTTGGGAAGTGTTCCCACGTCCTCTATTTTCTGAGTAAATTTGAATAGGAACGTTATTATTTCTTCCCTAAATATTTGAGAAAATTCACCATTCTGGGTGATTTTGTTGTAGGGGTTCTTAGGTTAAGCACAGAGGATTAAGCACAGAGGGGCTGGCTCTTGGGGGCTGGAAGCTACAAGCCTACCTGGTATTTTTTTTTTCTGTGTGTTTGTACCCCACCTCAAAAAGAGAGAGAATGAAAGAAAAATTTGTTTACTGTGCCTCCACCCCACACTTGCTGATGTCTCTAGGACTTTGACATATATTATTTGTATTTTACTGTGAGCGAATTTTAGATGTTGTCTTATAGGGGCAGGTTTTGATAGGAAGAAAGTATGAGCACACTAGGCCACTGCAACTGAGATGTTACCAGGAAAGAAGGGGCATAGGACTGCGAGGACAAATTACAATTTCTTCATTTTACTCATAAACAGTCACGTCAGGCAGAGTCAGAAAGCAACCTGCTACCTTTTGTGAAACTATGGGCAACTCGTGGCAGTAGTTTAGCCAGCTTAAAATCCAGCTAGTGGATCAGCAAGATCTGAAGTTTGGGACCAATTATTAAGACTGAACCTAAAAAACAGGTTGAAAGCCACCATTGGATAAGGACTCTTTTCAGATTTCACCAGGTCAGGAATATTAATATTTTCTGTCAAATCTGTCCACAGATATTACTATGAACAGAAATCGCTGAGGTCTACTGACCTTTGAGATGTAAATAAAATGCAACTTGACCATAATCCAGGTGAATTTAGTACGTGTGGAGCCTCCGAACTTTCCTGTCTTTCTTTCTAGAGCAAGGGTAAACAAAGATTTTCTGTAAATGGCCAGATAGCAAATATTTTCAGCTTTTCAGGCCATACAGTCTCTGTCACAACCACTCCATTCTGCCATTGCAATGCAAAGCAGCTAGAGGAAACATACCGAGATGAGTGTGTTTGTATTCTAGTAACACTTTCTTTCTAGAAGTAGATGGTGGGCCAGATTTGGCCCCTGGGTATAGTTTTCAGATACCTGTTTCAGAAGATGAAGATGGTTCACTACTACCTGCTGTCTTAGTCCGTTCGGGCTGCTATAACAAAATACCACATACTGGGTATTTCTTTCAACAATAAATTTCTATAGGCAATATAAATTTATTTCTCACAGTTCTGGAGGCTGGGAAGCCCAATATCAAGGCACCTTTAGAATCAATGTCTGGTGAGGGCCTGTTTCTTGGTTCATAGATGGTATCTTCTTGCTGCATTCTTACCTAGAGGAAGGGATGAGGCAACCCTCTGGGACCTCTTTTTTTTTTTTTTTTTGAGAGTCTTGCTCTGTTGCCCAGGCTAGAGTACAGTGGTGCGATCTCGGCTCACTGCAAACTCTGCCTCCTGGGTTCAAGTGATTCTTCTGCCTTGGCCTCCCGGGTGTCTGGGATTACAGGCGTGCACCACCACGCCTGGCTGATTTTTGTATTTTTAATAGAGATGGGGTTTCACAATATTGGCCAGGCTGGTCTCGAACTCCTGACCTCATGATCCACCTGCCTTGGCCTCCCAAAGTGCTGGGATTACAGACATGAGACTCCACACCTGGCCAGGACCTCTTTTGTAAGAGCACTAATCCCACTCAGTGAGAGCTCTGCTCTCATGATCTAATCACCTCCCAATGGACCCATCACCTAATATCATCACACTGGTGATTAGATTTCAACATATGAAATTTGGGGGAGTTCAAGCATTCAGACCATAGCACCTGCATGTCTCTGGTTCTTAGCCCTTTCTTCTGCTGAATTATTTCAGTTTATTGGACATTTTATCATCCCATGAATCTCTCTCTGTTCCATGGGTTTTAAGGCTAAAAATGGAGCCCAGGCAGCCTGCTTGGAAGCTTATTTACACTGAGATCCACTCAGGCACCTATGCCTAACCATGAGATGTATCCCTTTTTGGTAACTTGCTTGGCATACTCCAAACTGTTAT
This sequence comes from Homo sapiens, assembly GCF_000001405.40. NCBI lineage: Eukaryota > Metazoa > Chordata > Mammalia > Primates > Hominidae > Homo > Homo sapiens. Next base: position 73,542,634 of record NC_000013.11, read on the forward strand.
ATAATTCTCAGCTGACTCACCCTTTGCAGTGTGGAAAACAGGTTGTACCACCTTGTGCTAAAGGAAGCAGGAATGAAACTGATGTCTTCTCAGCAAATTCTTGGAGTAGGGGGGTAGACAGATTGGGTTCCATATATTACTCTATAAACTAACAGTTGTCAAGCTAGTACTTCAGATTAGGCTGGTCTGCTATCAAGTTGTCTTCTTTAACTGAAAAAGTATGGGTTACTCTAACACTTGGAATGCAAAAAATGTCACATTTCCCCATTTTGCTAAATTATATTAAATATAGATTGAGCTTTTTATTTTTCAAGATTGATGAGAACTTCAAACTTAGTGATTTTCAGAACCCTCATTATCTACCTTGGGCTAAGGACCTCAAGATTTGGGGGTACAGGATGATGGAGGACAACAGCATCATTCCTCAATCTCTGTTTACTTGTGGCTGCCACAGCCCATGTTTCAATGGCTTGTTCACAGATGGACTGCTCTCTGGCAGTTCCAATTTTTCCAGCCACACGTGACTTGGAGACCCTCATCAGAGCTTCCTAGGTCACAGGACACAGTTCTTAGTCCTCTCAGCAATAAGGGGCTGCATTTTAATGGCGCTGACCTATGTCACTTGTGCACCCTAAGCCCCTTTTTCTCCTCAGTTGAAGAGTCAAACCAATTTACCAGTAACCTAGTTGTTCCCTTCCCAAATATTAAATCAGCAAGCCTCCAAAGCCTTTCTTTTTCAGGTGATCCAGTTTATTTTTATTTCTTTATTTTTAATTTATTTTTAGAGATGGGGTCTTTCTCTGTCACCCAGGCTGGAGTGCAGTGGCAAGATCATAACTCGCTGTAACCTCCAACTCCTGGGCTCAAGCAATCCTCCCACCTTAGCCTCCTGAGTAGCTAGGACTATAGGTGTTCACCACCATGCCCAGCTGATTTTTAAATATTTTGTAGAGGCAGGGTCTTACTATGTTGCCCAGAATGGCCTGAAACTCCTGGCCTCAAACCATGCTCCTGTCTCAGCCTCCCAAAGTGTTCGCACCACTGCACCTGGCCTCAGGCAATCCAGTCTAATATTCTTGTTGGGCCCAGAATTTTAAAGGCAGAAATTGTTTGTCTCACATAGTGATTTGTTTTGTTTTAATTAAACTTCAATACCTTTAGACTGGACACGTAATCTCCAGTTGACAATCTCCACCACTCTCTATTATCTTACTCCAACTAGTTTTCTTTCTTTATTGCCCTTACTGTCTAGTCTTGGAAGGGAGGTGGAAGAATTACTTTAGTTTCTTCCTTAAGAGTTTATAGTAAGAAATGATACAATTTGATTTCTCTATAGAGTATTTTACTACATAAATTTTTGAACAAACCACTGTGTTATAGAGTCTATTTATTCTAGCCCGCTTGCTCTCAAGGTGTGGCCCATGAATAAGAAGTCTCAGTATCTCTTGGGAACTTGTTAGACATGCCAGCCCCCACCTCAAATCTACTGAAATAAAATCCTGGGTGTGGGCTCCGCAATCTGCACTTCAACGAGCCCTCTAGGAGATTCTGATGCATGTGCAAGTTGAAGAACTCCTGTTCTAGAATGTCATATGCTTTGGGTACAATAATCCATAGAGAAAGATCTGTCATTTAGAACTATTGGTAACTCCTCAGGTAAGTCCTTAGTTCTCTGTTTTTTTCCTTCCATACTCTCTTGGAGTGCATATTCTCTCAAAATTTTAATTGATGCCCTCTTGTGGCTATGAGAATTCCCAGGTATATCACTATATCCCAGATCTATTATTTTCTTTCTTTCTTTTTTCTAAATCATTGTTTCATTCCAGGAAAACTCAAATTTAATATTCTGACATTATTGGAAACTACATTCGTCATTTGTACCCCATAGCAATTTATCTTCCCTCTTTTCCTCTTTATCATCAGTGGGGAAAAGTAAGCTGAATGAGTCACTTATCTCAGGTGAAAAACTTAAGGGGGCAATAAAAAATGTCAATAATCAAGACAAATAATATTTTAACGAAATTTTTTAAAGTTAAGATTAATGCAAGAAAATCCGCGATGAGCAAAACTAATTTTTTTTTTAAATAGAACTAGTAACCTTGCTATGCTAAGTCATATTGGAGCTTAAGGCAAAAGGAAAAAAATCAGTAGTATTGATCCTGTCTTTATTTAAAACTTTGATATTTTTTATCATGAATATTTTTGCATATATTTTATCTTAAAAATATTGCATTAAAATACTATCTATCCTGATTATTGTGTTATTTGGTGCTGACTTAAGTTTTATGCCCAAGACAAGTCCTCACCACATCACTGAAGGTTAGAGCATCAGTTTTTCCTGTGCCTTGCATACAAACACAGCTCTTTCAGGAAGGTGCCCCTTACTCTTCTCTGTACAAGAAATCTCTGCTGATTACAGATGGAGCCAGCAGGCAGGAAAGAAAGTTGATTGCATTCAATGATTTGAGAGACACTCAAAGATCACCTGACCCATTAAACTAATTTCCCTCTCCATTAGGTTATAATGGCAAAGTTGATGGTTTGGTTCAAGAAGAAACAAAACACATATTGGTTTCAAAGGGAATACAAGGGAAAATCTTGGGTGTCATAGGTCTCTCTTATATTTGTTCATAAAGTGATTGAGCTCCTGGAGAATAAGTTCCCAAGGAAGAGGAATGTTGAAATATTAATAGAAGGTAGGAGTTCAGGAGAAGACAGGGACCACCGCTTGCCCATAGCTGATGCTTATCTGCACATCGTCTGTTTAGCAACCGCACACTTAGTGTATACTAAACAATCTTAGACTTGCTCACAGGCTGCTTTGTAATTAGTCTCTGGATGAATCACGTGGGTACATTTATCTTCTCCAATTAGACAGTGATTTTAATTTCAGAAATCATGTGTCCTCTCTTTGTTTGGATCCTATTCTTTGAAGAGGATTTTATTAAGGAGCCATTCCAGAAACTTTGTCTAAGTTACATCTGACTTCATTCATTCAGTCTTTTGTTTATTCTGTTCACACACAATACACTTGAGACCAAATAGAATGGAGTAGATATTGAATTAAGTAACTAAGCATTAAAAAGAATTAAAAGCCCAGTTGCCTTCAGTGTTTATTAATTGCTGAGAGCTACATGGAGACAATTTCTACTCTCCAGGAGCTTCTAAAGCAGCGAGTGGATGCCTCCAATACAGATATACATGAATAGCATATATAAAATAACCCAAAACTTTAAACCTACGTATCAAAGCAAATTGACAGTTAAATCACATTCTTAAGGCATAGCAATATTTATTTCATATATTTCCAAACCTAATGTTGCATGCCCCTACAGCCAAGCTCATGGGTCTTTGAAGATGCAAACAGTCTGAGTACAAATTCACTTTTCATGCAAAAACTCCAAAACACAGCCGGCAAATGTGCCCTTCATAAATCATCAAATAGTTTCTTCAGTTGTAATACTATATGAATTAAAATTGTCAAGACTGTTTTCCTTTTATAGCAGTTGATTCAGTATCTTTTAAAGTCCTCAAAGCTGTCAGATTTCTACAGCTTGAACTTCAATAAATAAACTTAGGTTTTCTTTGTATTTAGAGGTTTACAAGAGACTTTCAAGCTCTGACATGTTTAGAAAGTTACCTTAGTAGGTTGAGATTTTATTACTATGATAACTTAACAAGACAGAGGTCTTAAGAGTAATTTCCTCTGTGACTTTCAGAAGAATTTACCATTTATGACTTGAGAGCACTGTCTTACATAAAAACTTATATTTTGGGAGATTATCTTTCAACAGAACATTTATCTCTCTCTATTTTTTATATTCTAGAATGCACTTACAAGTGTATTGGACAGAGAGAGTATCTTTTGGAACATTTTTGCACTGGTGAAAAGTTGTTCCGCTTTTGTAGGCCTTCGTGCCATGAAGTCAGTGAATATGCCAATCCACGCTGCCTGGTTTAGCAACAGGTGAGGAGGAAACTCCACCTCCGTGAAGACTTGTTTGTATTGAGCTGATGAATGGCCATGTGAGACGCCAACAACTGAGGGAAGAAAGTAATTCCCATGTCAACAGGAGTCCCAGGGACTTACCAAAAAAGTCACCTCTATAAACGTCTTCCAGAGGATAATGCCCATTTCCTAAGTTCACCGGGACTTGGGGACTCACCACTCTGTGGTATAGAGACCTCACTGCAGTTGACCTCCAAACCTGTGGGGCACAGAAGAAGAGACAGGTGTAGGTAGAACAGGATATCTGTTTTTATGTCTCTCCTGGCTACAGAAGACTCAGCAAAAGTGTACCTGGATGTCCAACACAAGGGAGGGCTCATAATGGTATTATGCCTCCACCTTTTGTTACTGTGAAGGCCATGACCAGATGGGAGGAAGGTACCTTCTGATGACATTACTGTCCTAGAGAACATTTGAGTAGGTAAGAGGAAGATGCCATGGTCTTCAATATTGTTTTGTACCATAGTATATATAACAAATCATGAAGCAAGTTAGAGTGGTATGAAGTTAACAGGAACTTTTTATTTTGAAAGTTTTAAAATGATCACCAAGAATTATCACAGTAGAAATGGGAGAGAAAAATTAATATATGTATATTAATTTTATAATCTACTATGTAATGTAATAATCTGTATGTGTGTGCATGTTTGTGTGTGTTTTGCTTTGTTCTCAGCTATTTCTCTGACTGTTGTCCTTTTGGGGTTTATCTGCTCCCACAATACCTGCTGAGGATGAGTCAATCCTCTCTCAGTTGGATATAATTTGTAGCCACATTATCCTGTCTAATAGGAGCAAAAAGCAACCAGAAAGATTTCCTGAGGAATTGCTGGCACATGCAAATGGGAAACTGGTCATTTTAATTTTGGTTGTCATGACGTTTCTTCAATTACCTCATTGACCTGAATCATCACACTTCTTTACACTGTTTTCAGCCTTATTGTCTGGAAAATACAGACTTGTTTTCTTATTTGGATAGCCTAAGGAAAAACCATGAGCAAGTCTGGGTGTTATGGTTCTCCCAAGTGTTACATACATGCAGAAAATGTCATTTGAAGTTTTAATCTAAAAGAGTATAACTGAATGCTAGTCAAACATTCACTGGGTTTATTTCTTTGCCAAAGAGTCAATCCTGGCTGATATCTTCATTTTGTAAATTGAGAAAGATATACCTATAAATGACAAATGTGGAGGGTACCAAGCACATAAGGCTAAGAGAAATAAAATATAAATATATTCATGTGAAACCTTCTGGAAGGCATGGAGACAAACACAGGTATGTTATATAAAGTAATCTGTCCTCATTTCTCCAGGTAGAGGCTTAAAAATGCTATTCATCATCTTCACTATAGCTGAGATAATTTGATTAATAATAGCTATAATTATGTATCAAAACATAAAGAAGAAAAAGAATAGTCAAATATTTGCCATCACTATACAGTAATTTGTCCTTAGGAAGACATTCAGTATATATTCTAGCTCTTTTTTTGATAAATAGAAAAGATTTTGGTAGACATTAGACTAATACATGAACCAATTACTGACACATAAATATATGAGAAACAAATTAAAAATATAAAACTTGTTCTCACAGGAAGAGACAAGGCATGGTTTTTAGTAATGAAGAAAGAAATAATTAGTCCTGATTGATATCTACAAGCTCAACTCATTTCATAAAAATTAGCCTGTGGGGTGGTACTAATAGGAAAATAAATGAAATCAATAATTACAGTAATAATTATCTGCTTACATTAAAATGCATATGAAAAAATATTTAAATTTCTTTTCTCATCAGCTGGTCTCCAGCATGCATGGGTAATGAATGGCGTTTACCAAACTTGTTGCTGGTGAAAATGTGGACAAATATAAGCAGAACCTTGATTCCTTTTCACTATGTCCAACCTATAAAAAAATTCAAGGCTGGTCTTTCCCAGAAGTGATGAGGGTACATTGTGTGTTTGAGATCAGATGGTCAGGTGTGCAGCCTTTGTGAATAGGCCTATTCTGCTAACATTTACCAAGGATCACAAGTTCCTGTAGCTAGCTAGAAGATCTAGGAGCTAGTCTATTGTTTGAACAAACTGAAGCTTTCTTTGGAAAATCTTGGCAATGGGAAGTGCATTTGCGTATTTATGCATGACAACTGTCACACATTTTTCTCTCTGAAGGAAATAAGTCTTTAATTTCCTATTGAACTTGTTCAATTGACAGATTTTTTTTTTTTTTTTTGGCAGCAGCTTCATGTATAAAACATGAGGCAGAAACAGACTACCAGTACTATGTGGAAATCTTCTGAAAGGAAGATCTTTTTGGTTAGAGTCATTTACACTGGAAACAAAAAAATGATCTTACTGAAAGCGGTGCTATATGAAGTGGATGGCTAAAATAATTTTCAAGTTTCCTCTCTTTATAGAGTCCAGATAATGTGGTAGTAAGTTGAAACTGGCACGTGCTGATAATTTTAGAAATAGGTTTGCAACCCAATTTTGACAACAGTTTTTTCATAGCATTTCCTTGAGTGATGTTTTCCAAATATTGGAGGATACTAGATAACTCATCATAGAGATATACAACCTACTTTATCATATTTGCATGACTTTTAGTAGCTTATATGTAGCTCCCAGGATATATAATTCCCTACCCTGTGTTGTTACTTCAACAATACCTTAAAGCATATCCTTGTTCATATGGCGATGCCATCTGAGGAAGGCACCTAGCTTATCAGAGCATTCTATCCTCAGTATGGAATCTGGAGAGCTATGAACCCCTTTTATTTTTACAAATTTCTCTCCATTTGAAATTACTGGCCACAGCCTGGTTTCTAGATTCCAAAATTACTCTCTTAAAGCTTTGAGACTGAGTCAAATCAGAAAGCCCACAGTAACATAGCGGGTGCTCTTAGCCTAATACATTTGTCAGAAATTCTGAATGCCACTTACTTCCCTTGCTCCTCATTCCCGTAGTTGTTTTGAGCCTAGCCTGAAATCACATTTTGAGAGTGATCTGGAGATCTTCAAATAAACCTATATCTTCCAAACGGACCTAAGTTTTCTGAACAGGTCTTGGCTAACAACAGTACAAGAACTCTCTGGAAGCAAAACAAAACAAACAAAATAAACGCAATACTTTGCCAGCTAATTAGCTTTCTGATTGCCAATAGGGAATTATTCATTTCCATGCATTCATTTTCTCTAACACACTACGCTAGTCTGGTGTTAGTTCAGTCATAGCATAGCAAAAGATATATGTGTGTTCTTAGCTTATCTGTGTATATATTTTCTTTCTGCCTGAGTCAATCAGGCATTTATTTTTAGTACCTTCTATTGCTAAGAACTCTGTAAGGTGCTATGGGTTACATAAAGAAGCAGAAGAGTCCATTCTTAGTTTCAGGTTTACAGTTCAGTTGGAAAGAACAAATTAATGGAAGCCAAAAAAGCAATGTATTGTTAAATTATCAAGTACGGAGCTTAGCATGATAGAAGTTCACAGAATAATCAAAAGATAAGATAGAGTTGAGTTGGGGAACATTCAATGAACAAAGTAATGCCAGAGCTGTTTATTGAAGGATGGTTGTTTTTTTTTTGTTTTTTTGGTTTTTGTTTTTTGTTTTTTGTTTTTTTTAGATGGAGTCTTACTCTGTTGCCCAGGCTGGAGTGCAGCAGCGCAATCTCGGCTCACTGCAAACTCTGCCTCCCGGGTTCAAGCGATTCTTCTGCCTCAGCCTCCTGAGTAGCTGGGACTACAGGTGCATGCCACGATGCCTGGCTAATTTTTCTATTTTTAGTAGAGATGGGGTTTCACTATATTGGCCAGGCTGGTCTCGATCTCCTGACCTCATGATCAGCCTGCCTTGGCCTCCCAAAGTGCTGGCAGTGCTGGGATTACAGGCATGAGCCACCGCGCCCAGCCAAAGGATGGTCTTGATAGAGAGGCATATTTATAAATATGAAAGACAAGTCATATTTTCCCCCAGACATAATTGGCTGTCTTAACCATGTAATTTCCTTCCAATGCAACACATTATTCCAGATATAAAATGGTCACTTGAAAGAGAATCAGTCTTTTCCTCAGTTTTTCTGGAATATAAGTGCAGTTCTTTTTCTTTAAGGCTAGAGACTTGGTATATTAAATGTACTAAACTTTCTTTTTAATGTTAAGTAGAGTGAGATTTTGAGGATGTAATCCTAACTGAACAGTAACCAATACCAAGTAACTTATTGAACCAAGCTTTAAATACCATGATGAAAAAACTATATTTCTTATTAATTATGCCAAAATAAACTGCCTTTAAAAGTATATTAAGCTTCCCAGGAATCTAAAGATGCAGGAAGATAGTTACAATGTGGTTCAAATTTAGTTTGCCCCACAGGGTCCATCATGTAGGCACACTATGCCTCCGTGTTAATGTATTCTAAGTTTGGTAAAACCATGGCCACCTTCCTATGGCCAGAAACCAATCTTTTGCAGAGGAATGGTCCCCAGACAAGCCCAAATACGTGGCTTCCCAAAGCTTTTTCATGACTATACAGTCCCATAAAATGTTGCTAAGGATATTATAGCGTCACAGAGTTTTAGAGTTTGGAGGAGCCATAGAGATCATCGTTCAACTCTCAAAATTACAGTGAAGAAAGCACAGCTGCGTAGAAGTGCCATCTGTTTTCACTTTGCTGTAGACTAATTATACTGGACTCTCTTCTGGACCTCCTTCTCAACTGTAGACATCCTAACACGTGGACTGCTTCTGAATCCTTCCACGGTATGGCAGGACTCCTGGAATCTTGGGAGCCTTTTCTGTGCCATGAAGACACTGAATAGAATGTACACCACAGCGTTTCCAGATGGTCAACCGGCAAGGGAGCTGTTTAAGCAAATGCATGAATGAAGGTGGCCATGGTTGGTGTGAGGCCGGGGAAGACCCTGCTTTAGTCTCATTCTATGTGAAATTCAGTCCTTTGATGAAAATTTTAAAATCTTACTGAATATAGATGTGGGGAAAACTATTATTTAAGAGTTGCAAGCCGGGTTCTACCTCTAGCTCAAATTTATGTAGCAAACTGGGAGAAATCCCGTAATATGCATTTTTTTGTTATGTAAAAGGTAAGGCAGAAGTTTAACCATAGTTCTTAAGGGGAAACTTAAATATAGTGAGATAAATTAGATTCAAATGTTTTAAACTAAGAAGTAAAATTCTCTGTTTGTTCATGTAAATGTAGGTATGTTTAGCAGTTGCTACCTAGGGGCCAATGTTTCCTTTCTCTGCATGGAATTAGACTCTTCTGGCATGTTTATTATTCAGCGGCCTTGAAGAGTGATTTTTTGTTTGAGGTTCTCTTCCCCATGCCCGGGAAAGTTGGAGCCATTTCAGTGAGAACTTGATGTTTACCTTATCCTGGAAGAGAAAAAAAAATATTGTGGTATGCAACCTATACAGAAAGATTGCTGTCTATTTAAGGCTAAATAAGGCAGATTTGGGAAAGTATATTAAAGTTTTAGTGCCATATATGGGTGACGCCATAGGACCAGACCACATCTCTGAAGATGGAAGTTGTGGTTTCCTCTGAAGTAGAGTAATCCACTGCCCATCACCCTGGGAAGAGGTGAATCTTGGGACTGCAAGTAAAAACTCGGGATTGTGGGGTTTTGACGGTTAGGTCTGGGGGAGAGTGTGGGGAGTCTTTTCTCCTCTCTCTGAAGCCTCATGGAAACCAAATAAAGCAGATGTGCTAGAGGGCACACCTGTTGAAGAGCGGTTGCCATCCTCATCCAGATACCAGGCTGGGAGAAAGACAGAGAAGTATCATTTAGGGACTCTGAAGAATGTTGTCCTGAACTTGGGGCTGGGAGGACTCTCCAGAGTAACTTGAGAGGACATCCACTGTAGCTTCTAATGTATTCTGCATGTGGATAGTCCCTTTTGTTTTCTATTAACTTTCAGCAAAGCCTGATTAGAACGTACCACTTGGTCTCTTCTTTGCTTGAGGGAAAGAACAGTGTCCCCTCTTAGAGGCCACGGGGCTGGTGGCATTGGTGTTCATCAGGAGAGGATAGCTGTGTCTGGTCCAGAAGACACGTGACAGGGGTTCTCAGTATAAAGGCAGCAAAGTGCAGTGTGATGAGCAAATGCATGAGCAAGACTGAACAAATGTGTGAGCACCACTATTTCCTCCCAGAAAATAGCTCAAAGATGCTTGGAAGTTCCCTAATTCATGGAAAACCAGTAGATGGGACTTGAGCTATTATTGTGGGAGCTTTACAAGGAAATATAACCTTATTTTATATTCATATATAGCTGATGCTTGAACATTTAATTATATGCATTTGTGTAATAGGTACCAGAGACTGTTCCCTTCTGTTTTACTGAACATAGTAAATCATCATATAACAGATCATTTTCCAGAATCTCTTGAAGTTTTACATTAAATAAGGATAGGGTGACTACTGGGCAGTCTTTACCAAGGGCAAGAGTATAATGGGAATCTTTTGTGACCTGACCAAAGCTAGCTCCTCACCATACCTCTTAATCAGCATAGCTGGTCAGCAGAGAGGAGTCTGATAAACTCTGGACTTTCTGACTAAAGTCTGAAATTATGGACTTTTGCTCACCTCTTCAGATGGCCTGGCACAGGTAGACCAAAGTGGGCAAAAAGGATATCAATAGCTTCAAAAAGAAACATAGAAAAAAGAATGGGCTATGTGGGGGTGGTGGCCCTTGGTCTATGACAGAGGAAGGCTGTTTTGGAAAACAAAAATGTGGCTGAGATTGAAAATTGCCTTAGGATCCAGCTATCCTGGCATATTGTTGTGGTTCGGGAACAAAGCTGAGCATTTGAACATGGGACACTCTTTGGTTTAGGTATGAGGGTGTCCTTGCAGGATGGACATGCTTTCGTGGCATGGTGCAAAGCTAGTTTTAACAATGATTTCCAGTGAGTGCAAAAAACAAAGCTATAGTAAAGGATTAAACTCATTTCCCTAGGGCATTGAGTAAGCCTTGAGATTCTTAAACTGAAATTAAACTGTAACAAGGGTCTGTATGTGTGTGGGAGAGGAATGCTTTCCAGGGCAGGTTTCAAAAGTGAGATACTAGACTTCCCACTAATATGTCATGTGGGTGCTCACTGGAAATATAAAGGAATATGACTGCTCTGTACCCTTGCATTAATGAATCAGTATGTGCCTATTGCGTTTGTAAAATTATAGAGAAATTACAACGTTACATTGTTTAGGGTAATCCCAAATCATAATACATACTGTGATTGTTTTTCTTTATGTTTATTAATTTAAATGAGAGGTCCAGGGAACATATCCTAAAAACCACAAAGAAGATTTGGTCTCTTCTGGGAGGTCTATGACAGTAAGTCACAGCACACAAATTTTCTTGCATAGCTGACTGCAGGCTAATTCTGAAATATCCCTTTTAAGTGATGTCAGTGGAAGTCTGAAAGCATATAATATAAACGCTGGGTAGTCTATCAACCTGTGGCTTCTCATTATATATGTGATTCACTATGTTAACTTGGTGCATTATATAACTTCGCAGTTTACAAAGCACTTTCACATATGTTATTTGTGCCTCACAATAACACCGATCAGTATGTAGAGCTATGATTATTAACCACATTTAATACTTGAGGACACTGGGCCCAAAGGTAATAAATTATATAACTATAAATAAGTACAAGAGGGTTTAAATTTAAAGAATAGATACTAACTGAAAAAAGGAAAGGAGTAACTTTGCAGTGATCAAAGTTAACAGCACCAATAAGGACACATATCAACATCATGTACCTCCTGATCTTATGCTCTAAGAAGACAACAACATCACTTCCATATGATTCTTGCCAGAAATACATAACCTGAATCATAAGAAAACATTAAACAAACCCAAATTGTGAGGCATTCTATCAAATAATTGGCCAGTACTGTCTAGGTCCATTTTGTGCTGCTATAACAGAATACTTGAGATTGGGTAATTTATAATGAACAGAAATTTATTTCTCATGATTCTGGAGGCTGGGAAGTCCAAGATTGAAGGGACAGCATCTGGTGAGGGCCTTCTTGCTACATTACCCTGTGGCAGAAGGCAGAAGGGAAAGAGAGCTCCTCAGTGAGAGAGCAAGAGGGGGCCAAATTTGCTTTTATAATTGATCCACTCCCAGAATAAAAACACTAATCCATTCATGAGGGCAGAGTCCTTGTGATCTAATCACCTCTTATTAGTCTCCCACCTCCCAACACTGTTGCATTAGGGATTAAGTTTCCACACAGGAACTTTGGAGGACACATTCAAATCATAGCAAGTACTATTAAAAAAGGTCAAAGCCATAAGAGACAAAGAAAGAATGAAGAACAGTTGCTGATTGTAGGAGACAAGGAACCATGATCACTAAATGCAATTTGGGAATTTCGATCCTGGACCTGAAAAAGAACATTAGTGGCACAACTGGTAAAATTTGAATAAGAATTATAAATTAGTTACTAATATTCTTGTCAAGGTTAATTTCACGATTTTGTTAATTGTGCTATGGCTATGTAAGATGTTAAAACTTGAGAAAGTTATGAGAAGGGTATACAGGAATTCTCTGTACTGTTTATACAACTTTTTTGTAAGTCTGAAGTTATTTCAAAACAAAAGTTAAAATAAATTATAAATAAACAGGCTTTCTAGTATAGCCAGGCCAATTTTTATCCCCAATGACAATGTACATAAGCTTCAAAACTCAATGTTAATCAAAATAAATAGTCCATTAATCTAAAAACTGGACTCATGAATGTCCCTATGGGGCTCTTCTATGTTTTACCATGGAATACTATGGAATTCTGGGGAGGAATAGAACACAGTGGTAAAAACTTTAGGCCTCGGATTTGGATAGATCGGTTTTACATACCAGTCCTGCCGTTTTGTACCTATGTGAACCTCAATTTCTCTATGTGAAAAATTGGAATGCATAGCAATATCATAAGATTGTTGAGGGATTAAAGGTGTCAATGTATGCTAAGGCCTGAACACAATGCTAGGTACAGGTCCCAGCTTTTGAACTATAATTGAATTTAAATAAAAGGGTGAGAAGAGAGCACCATGGGCCAGTTACCACTTTTTGTCAGAATGGTTACTTGGTTTGATATTTCACCAGCTTAAATGGGCACGTTTACTAAAAAGCTGCTTATGCATGCTTACTACTGATAATACAGAAGGGAAATAATGTCATTTAGACACATTTTCCAGGGATATTTTGAAAATAACTGAATTGCAGCTAAAAGCTTGCCATGGAAAAGATCTCAGCTGTCACCACTGCTGCATCTGGAGTCACTTGGGTACTGTCACCAGGAGAAAGTGGAAAAAAGGATCTCTGCTCAAAGCTTCAGTGCCCATGACAGAGAGCTAGGAAGAAACCATGATTGCTCCCAGAGTACAGCAAAGCCTGCTTTGAGTGGGTGGACAAGGCTTTATAAAACTTGGAAAGGCTCTTCAAAGAACAATTAAAAACAATCTCCTGTAGTGGGAGGTGAATCTGGCTGGGAAGCTCCTGCTTTCTTTCCCCAGGGTAGAATTCCCAGGCTTCTGGATCCTGGTGGAGTGCCCTTGGCAGTGGACAGCAAAGCATGTTCTCTTTTCACTTTCCTGGGGTTCAGAGTGGTGGTTTTGAGTACACGGAGTGAAGAACATCTGGCTCTCCTGAAGCTGAAAGAGATCTGAAGTCAGCAGGTGGGGGGTTGGAGGTTTATGAAAATAGTAGGGTGAAGTTCATTTTGTGGACAACTCTTGGCCCCGGGTGTTATTTATTTCAAATTTTATACTGCTGAGCTCCTGTGGGCTTATTACAGATCAATTCATAAACAAGCACACACTAAGTTGTGTCCTGGGGATAAATAATGAGTTTATGTGACTTTGGGGTTGCGTGTTAGAGGTGAGAGGGGAGCCACAGCTGAGGACTCAGTGTAATAAACTGGAATTCCAGGCTACACCCCTATGTGGACAAAAGACTTGAAGAAGAAATGTCCATGAACTATGCACAAGTTTTAAGGCACTGAACTCATATCTTTCACATTTCTAAAAGGAATTACTGTGAATTAAAGGCAAAAACGCATCCCATGGAGCAGCCAGCTCTCTTTAAGAGTACATGAATAGGTGTGATAAATATTTTTGGAGAACTGATCTGATCTATAAAATCACTTTAATATGTATTTAATATTTCTAGTAATAACAATCCAAAATCATTTATGCAATCATCTCACAAATACCTATGTGTCAGAATGACATGTAAGCCAAGATTTTAAATAATTTATGCTAAATATATTTTGATGATTTTATAGTTTTTCCTTCATAAGAAAGATTCTTATGATGTAATGAACATCAAGAGACGTCTCCCTTTCCCAACTCAAAACAGATCCCTTTATGGCAGTACTCTGTGCACATAGACTGTTAATCTTTGTGCATTTGAAGTGGTGGAAACTCAGTAAATGAAAGGATGAGTAATCACGACGGTTATGTGTGGCAGCCCTGTCTGAGCAGAGCAGTAACAAGGGAGGCTTCACAGTTCCAAATTACACATGAAACAAAAGGATGTTCATTTCTCACGATGAAGTCAATTTCCATGAGATCCTGGGAAGAAAAGTCCTCATCCAAGAGAAAGAATCTTAGCAATTCCAAGAAATCATTTAGCCCAGAAGTCCAGAGTCTTTTTGCAACACAAAATGTCACAGGTAGGCAAAGATATAATTGAAAGAGAAGAATGAGGGGAAAATGAAGGAACAATTTTTTCAGAGAGGGAGAGACTCATACAGAAGAAAACAGAGATTAAAATTGAGAGAATTCCCACGGAAGGACACAGAGCTCCCCCCGCCTCAGCCTTTCTCTGAATGTGACTCAGTAGTGTTCACGGCATAAGCCGTCCTCCTTGCTTCATGCCACCCTCATCCTCAACACAGGTTCCTGCACAGGCAGAATGGCTGGAAGCTCTGGATAGAGCACAATTCCAAGATGTCCCTATCCTAAAGTCAGGGAAAGACCACTCTGTGAAACAGACTCTAGAAGAACAGCAATTGGATGCCTTTGTTGTTTGTAAAGTAACCCATGGGCAATGGATTATAACTGAGTTGCTGATGGGATCATCCTGTTTCTCAGTCCAGTCAATAGAACTCTTCATTGTATTGTGATCTACTCACTATAGGATAGTTGTGATTTTGGTAACTAATAAAAACAGTAATTGGATAGTTCAGAATGTGTTTGTGTAATTGGTTAGCATTTATTCAGCCTAGTCCATGTGAAAAGGGGCACTGTATCTGAAAAAAACACAGTATTTCAATCATTACAAGGGTGAATTTGGTACTTAGGACAAAGACTCTCTCACTCTCTCTCTCTCTCTCTCTCTCTCTCTCTCTCTCTCTATCTCTCCATCCATGCATGCATGCATCCATCCATCCATGCATGCATGCATGCATCCATCCATGCATGCATGCATCCATCCATCCATCCATGCATCCATCATCTTCACATCCTATATATTAATTGTGTTCAATTTCCTCTTGCCACTACAAATTTTGGGCTCCAACATAAACTCAGTGATGCCTGGTAATCTTTTTCTTCCCCTTTCTTGTTCATCACAAATTATTACTCTCACCACCTGTGCTCTTACGCCAATCATCCTTTCTGTTTAAGAACACTTCTGGTAGACATAGTGGCTCATGCCTGTAATCCCAGCACTTTGGGAGGCTGAGATGGGAGGGTAGCTTGAGACTAGGAATTTAAGACCAGCCCATGCAACATAGTGAGACCTCATCTCTCAAAAAAAAAAAAAAAAAAATTAGCAGGACATGGTTGGTTGCATGCACCTCTGGTCCCAGCTACTTGGGAGGCTGAGGGAGGGAGGACCCTAAGCCCAGGAGCCCAGGAGTTCAAGGCGGCAGTGAGCCGTGATGGTGCCACTGCACTCCAGCCTGGATAACAGAGCAAGACCCTGTCTCAGAAAAAGAAAAAACAAAAAAAAAAAAAACAAGACAAAACAAAAAACACTAACACTCCCTCTAATTCCTTAGCTCAGAATATGAGGCCTCAGTCTTTAGTATCCATTTTGCTTGACTTCTCTGGGGTGTTTAATACTACTGTTTTTGAAACTCTCTCATTATTTGGTTTCTAGAATACCATTCTCTTTTGCTCCCTTTACCTCTCTGACTTTCCAGCTTCCTGTAGTGGGCTTCATTTCCCTACCGTCCTCTTCGGTGCTATTGTGCTAGAGTTCTATCCTGGCCCTCTTTCCTCAGCACACACCAAGAAATCTCATTCCTTCCCCCATTTCACCCACTTGCATGCTCAGCCCTCTCAAATGCATACCACCAGATCAGTTTCTTCTCCATCATTGCAGACCAAAGTAAGTGAAATTCAACATGCCTAAAAACAAATCCTTAGTTTTCCTCCCAGACTTGCTTCTACCACCTTTCTTAGCTTGGTTAATAACATGTCAATCCACAAAGTAACCCAGTGCCAAATTCAACTTTCTTACTCATCCCTTCTTTCATCTTCCATGTTCAAAGCTTTACCTCCTTAACATTTCCCAAACCTATCTTCTCAATTCTGTCCTCATTTCTGTGTCTTAGTTCAGACCTTATTCATCTTTTTATTTTGGAGAATCTTAATAGTTTTCTCAATGGTTTTCCTGCCTCTATTCTTGCATACCACTAACTGATTATCCACACTTCAGCCAGAGTGATTGTTTTAAAATTCAAATCTAACTAAACTACTTCTCTTCTTAAAACTCATTAGTGACTTCTCATTGCTTCATGGCCCTTGGATGCTCTTGGTGTCTAAGGCCTGATGGAACCGGCCTCTGCCTGCCATGTTCTTCTGCCTACCACCGCAGTCTATGGTCAGCCATAGCTCAGCATAAGAGTAGTGAATGAAGAGCTTGAATAAAGATCCCCACAGGCTTTTCTCATGTCTAAAAAGATAGTCTCAAATGGTTTTAGCCTTGATATTTCCCTTGCT